>NC_000012.12:46096491-46248006 GCF_000001405.40 Homo sapiens
CAAGCAGGAGTAGCTATTCTTTTATCAGACAAAATGGACTTTAAAGTAACAACAGTAAAAAAAGACAAAGAAGGACATTATATAATGATAAGAGGATTAGTCCAACAGGAAGATATTACAATCCTAAATATATATGCACCTAACATTGGAGCTCTTGAATTTATAAAACAATTACTACTACAGCTAAGAAATAAGATAGATAGCAACACAATAACAGTGGGGGATTTCAATACTCCAATGATGGCACTAGACAGGTCATGAAGACAGAAAGTCAACAAAGAAACAATGGACTTAAACTATACCCTAGAGAAAGGAACTTAACAGTTATTTACAGAGCATTCTACACAACAACTGCAGAATATACATTAGTTTCATCAGTACATGGAACATTCTCCAAGATAGACCACATGATAGGTCACAAAACAAGTCTCAATAAATTTAAGCAAACTGAAATTATATCAGGTAGCCTCTCAGACCACAGTGGGATAAAACTGGCAATTAACTCCAAAAGGAACCCTCAAAACTATGCAAATACATGGAAATTAAATAATCTGCTCTTGAATGATCTTTGGGTCAACAATGAAATCAAGATGAAAATTAAAAAATTATTTGAGCTGAATAATAGTGACACAACTTACCAAAACCTCTGAAATATAGAAAAAGTGGTGCTAAGAGGAAAGTTTATAGCATTAAATGTCTACGTCAAAAAGTCTGAGAGAGTGCAAATAGACAATCTAAGATCACACCTCAAGGAACTAGAGAAACAAAGAGAAACGAAACCCAAACCCAGCAGAAGAAAAGAAATAACACAGATCAGAGCAGAACTAAATGAAATTGAAAGAAACAAACAAAAAATTACAAAATACAAATAAAACAAAAAGCTTGTTCTTTGAAAAGATAAACAAAATTGACCATTAGCAAGACCATTAGTAAGATTAACCAAGAAAAGAAGAGAGAAGGTCTAAAGAAGCTCAGTTGGAAATGAAATAGGAGCTATTATAACATACCACAGAAATACAAAAGGTGATTCAAGGCTATTATGAACACCATTACATGCACAAACTAGAAAATCTAGAGGAGATGGATAAATTCCTGGAAATAAACAACCCTTTAGATTAAATAAGGAAGAAACAGAAACTCTGAACAGACCAATAGCAAGAGAGATTGAAACAGTAATTTAAAAAATTGCCAACAAAAAAAGTCCAGGACCAAATGCATTCACAGCTGAATTCCATCAGACATTCAAAGAAGAATTGATACCAATCTTACTGAAACTATTCCAAAACATAGAGAAAGAAGAAATTCTCCCTAAATTATTATATGAAGCCAATATCACCCTAATTCCAAAATCAGGAAAGGACATAAAAAAGGAAACTACAGACCAATATCCCCAATGAACATAGATGCAAAAATCCTCAACAAAAAGCTAGCTAACTAAATCCATCAGCACATCAAAAAGAGAGCACATCATGATCAAGTGGTTTCATCCTATGGAGGCAGAGATGATTTAATATATGCAAGTCAATACATATGATAAGTCAATAAATATGATAAATAAACAGAATTAAAAACAAAAACTGTATGGTCATCTCAATAGACATACAAAAAGTATTTGACAAAATTGAGCATCACTTTATGATTAAAACCCTCAGCAAAATTGGCATAGGAGGGACATACCTCAAGGTAATAAAAGCCATTTATCATCCTGGTTAACACGGTGAAACCCTGTTTCTGCTAAAAATACAAAAAATTAGCCAGGCATGGTGGCAGCTGCCTGTAGTCCCAGCTACTCGGGAGGCTGAGGCAGGAGAATGGAGTGAAACCCAGGAGGTGGAGCTTGCAGTGAGCCGAGATCAAGCCACTGCACTCCAGCCTGGGCGACAGAGCAAGACTCCGTCTCAAAAAAATAAAAAAATAAAAAATAAAAGCCATTTATGACAAACCCACAGCCAACACTATACTGAATGGGGAAAAGTTGAAAGCATTCCCCCTGAGAACTGGAACAAGACAAGGATGCCCACTTTCACCACTTCTATTCAACATAGAACTGGAAGTCCTAGCCAGAGCAATCAGACAAGAGAAAGTAATAAAGGGCATCCAAATTGTTAAAGAGGAAGTCAAACTGTTGCTGTTCACCAATGATATGATTTAGATCTTGGTAGGACTGTATACCTAGAAAACTAAAGATCCATCCAAAAAGCTCCTAGATCTGATAAATGAATTCAGTAACATTTCAGGATACAAACAGAAACACATCCCATACTCATGGATGGGTAGAATCAATATTGTGAACATGGCCATGCTGCCAAAAATAATCTACAGATTTCAATGCAATTCCCATCAAAGTACCATCACCATTCTTCACAGAACTAGAAAAAACAATTCTAAAATTCATATGAAACCAAAAAAGAACCTGCATAGCCAAAGAAATCTTAAGGAAGAGGAAAAAATCTGGATTTGTTCAAATTACCCAATCTCAAACTAAACTAGAAGGCTATAGTTACCAAAACAACATGGTTCTGGTATAAAAATAGGCACATAGACCAATGGAATAGAATAGAGCACCCCAAAATATAGCCAAATACTTACAGCTAACTGACCTTTGACAAAGCAAACAAAAGCATAAAGTAGGAAAAGGACACTCTATTCAACAAATGGTGTTGGGTTAATTGGCAAGCCACAGGTAGAAGAATGAAACTGGATCCTCATCTCTCACCTTATACAAAAACCAACTCAAGATGGATCAAAGACTTAAATCTAATACCTGACACCGTAAAAATTCTAGAAGGTACCATTAGAAAAACTCTTTTAGACATTGGCTTAGGCAAAAATTTCATGACCAAGAACTCAAAAGCAAATGCAACAAAACAAAAATTGATAAATAGGTCCTAATTAAATTAAACAGCTTCTGCACAACAACAATAAAAAATAATCAGCAATCAGTCAACCCACAAAATGGGAGAAAATATTTGAAAACTATGCATACAACAAAGGACTAATATCCAGAATTAACAATGAATTCAAATAAATCAGTAAGAAAAAAGCACATAATTGCTTCAAAAATTGACCAAAGTACATGAATATGCAATTCTCAAAAGAAGATATACAAATGGCCAACAAGCATATGAAAAATGCTCAGCATCACTAATTATCAGGGAAATGCAAATTAAAACCACAAGGAGATACCACCTTATTCTTGCAAGAATGACCATAATTAAAAAATAAAAAAATAACAGATGTTGGTGTGGATGTGGTGAAAAGGGAACACTTCTACACTGCTGGTGAAAATGTGAACTAGTAGAACCACAATGGAAAACACTATGGAGATTCCTTAAAGAACTAAAGTAGAACTACCATTAAATCCAGCAATCCCATGACTAGGTATCTACCCAGAGGAAAATAAGTCCTTATATGAAAAAAGACACTTGCACATGCAAGTTTATAGAAGCACAAATCTCAATTGCCAAAATATGGAACCAGCCTAAATCCCCATCTACCAATGAGTGGATAAAGAAAATGCGATATATATATATAACCATGAAATACTACTCAGCCATAAAAAGGAACAAAATAATAGCATTTGCAGCAACCTGGATGGAGTTGGAGACCATTATTCTAAGCAAAGTAACTCAGAAATGGAAAACCAAATATCCTATGTTCTCATTTATAAATGGGAGCTAAGCTATGAGGATGAAAAGGCATAAGAATGATATAATGGACTTTGGGGACTCGGGGAAGTGTGGGAGTGGGGTTAGGTATAAAAGACTACACATTGGGTACAGTGTACACTGCTTGGGTGACAGGTGCTCCAAGTCTCAGAAATTACCATTAAAACTTTTCATGTAACTAAAGGCCACCTCTTACCCCAAAACTATTGAAAACCTGAGTAGTGTATGTATACATCCTAGACAACTCAGGAAATCTCATTAGCCCTGCAAGATATGCATAAACAAATTAAAGCTATGTCTGATCCCACATTGTCACCAGATCAATGGTTTGTGCCCTGGTTTGGGTCAGAACCATCCTGGTGGGAAAAGTTACTTGTGACCTTGATCATAATTGCGGGAATAGGCATACTTCTTTGCTGCAGATTCTACTGCTGTTGTACATTCTGCATGGAAATGCAAGGTAAACTCTCCCAGAGACTTGCAAATCTCCAACAGTTTTCATCTGTCAGCCCAGGTATGTGAGAATATTTCCAGTTCCAGTAGATCAGTTCCATGACAATGTCCTTTAACTACATCCTCATTCAGCAGGAAGTAGGCAGAATGAACACATCGCCCATGTTCCACAGAAATGGAATGGAATTTGGCAGTGGGGAGTTGTAATGAGTACCCTATTTTTAAATATTTTTTTGTTCCTTTCTGTATTAGTTGGGGTTTTCTACAGGGACAGAATTGATAGGATATGTGTATATATAAAAGAAAGTTTATTAGGGAGAATTGACTCCCATGATTACAAGGCAAAGTCCCACAATAGGGTATCTGCAAGCTGGTGAAAGACAGAAACTGGCAGTGACTCAGTCCAACTCCAAAAGCTTCAGCACGAGGAAAACTGACAGCGCAGCCTTCAGTCTGAAGGCCTGGGAGCCCCACAAGTCTTTTGCTGCAAGTTCCAGAGTTCAAAGACTGAAGAACATGGAGTGTGAAGTCCGAGGGTGGGAGGAGAGGAAGCCAAGTGTCCAGCAGGAGAAGAGAGAGAGTGGAAAGACTCAGCAGCAAAGTAATTATCCCTCTTCATCTGCCTGCTTTGTTCCAGCTGCGCTGGCAGCCAATTGGATGGTGCCCACCCACACTGAGGGTGGGTCTTTCTCTTCCAGTCCACTGACTCATGTCAGTCTCCCTTGGCAACACCCTTACAGACACACCCATGAACAACACTTTACCAGCCATTTAGGCATCCCTAATCCAGTCAAGTTGACACCTAATATTAACCATCACACTTTTTCTTTTTCCTCCTTATTTACTTTATGTTTAATTTCTTACAAATGAAATATGACCTTTGCTCTCTTTCTTTCCACCAGGTACAATGTCCTCCTTATCTAATTATACACTTGCTTAGAAGTTCCAGGGACTGAATCTTAAAACAATCCAAGCACCTATAGAATTTTTCCCCACCAGGAGAATACCTCAAGGTTGCAGTTAATTTACAACCTGATTACGCCAGGATGCCCCAGCCCATTCACCAGAGGGGGCAATGACTCAGGACAAGTCATTGGTGCAAGTCACGTAGACCTGCAACTTCTTGCCCCTCCTGCATTCTCCCTCTACTAAGCTTTCCTTTTTAAGCCGTTGCATTCTGTCCAAAATTTGAAATGGTTTCTCTAAGGCATGAAGCTGTTATGGGAGGGGGACAGGGACGTGCTGGGTAGAGAAAAGCGGGTCCTGGGCTAGGGCTTCACCCTCAGGCCTGTGCCCACGGACCTAGGTGAGGACAGGCACTCCTGCCTTTGGCCCAAATGTTGCATTTTCCAAGACCACCCTGGCCTGCCATGCCCACATCCTGTGCCTATAAAAACCCCAAGACCCTAGCAGGAACACACAAGCGGCTGGACGTGGAGAGAAACACATCAGCGGAAGAACACACAAGCGGCTGGATGTCCAGAGGATGTCGAGAACACCAGCATGCCAGCAGGCCATTCTCCCGGTGGAACGTGGAGTTTAGCTGAGGGGGTTGGAAGACGCCTGGGCCGCTGAGTGGCCCAACTTCAGGGGAAAACCTTCCCACTCCATCCACTTCTGGCTTCCCCCATTTGCTGAGTGCTACCTCCATTCAATAAAACCTGCACTCATTCTCCAAGCCCAGGTGTGACCCGATTCTTCTGGTAGACCAAGGCAAGAACCCGAGATACAGAAAGCCCTCTGTCCCTGCGACAAGGTAGAGGGTCTAATTGAGCTGGTTAACACAAGCTGCCTATAGATGGCAAAAATAAAAGAGCACGAGGTAGCACAGGCCCACTGGGGCCTCAGGAGCTGTAAACATCCATCCCTAGATGCTACCGTGGGGTTGGAGCTCCACAGCCTGCCTGTCTGCATGCTTCCCTAGAGGTTTGAGCAGTGGGGCACTGAAGAAGCGAGCCACTCCCCCTGTCGCACACCCCGCGATGGGGGACAAGGGAACCTTTCCCGTTTGAGAGCCGGGGCCATTTCCCCACTGTTAGCTCTGGAATAAAGTGAGTTTTCTTCTACCACACCTTGTACTTGTTATCTGACTTTGCAAGTGGTGAGCGACTGAACCTGCATGGAGTTGCAATATTAGTGTTTTTTTTTTTTTTTTTTTTGAGACAGAGTGTCGCTTTGTCGCCTAGGCTGGAGTGCAGTGACGCGATCTCGGCTCACTGCAAGCTCCGCCTCCTGGGTTCACGCCATTCTCCTGCCTCAGCCTCCCGAGTAGCTGGGACTACAGGCGCCCACCCCCATGCCCAGCTAATTTTTTTGTATTTTTAGTAGAGACGGGGTTTCACTCTGTTAGCCAGGATGGTCTCGATCTTCTGACCTCGTGATCCACCCGCCTCGGCCTCCCAAAGTGCTAGGATTACAGGCGTGAACCACCGCGCCCGGCCACAATATTAGTGTTTTATTTGACCTCTCTCGTCCTCCTTTTTCAGTCAGTTTCTAAAGGCATTTGACTTCTCGGTCTCCATCTTTTTAATTTCACACCATAGCTGGAAAGCACTAAGTTGATATTTTAAAAATAATTCAAACATTCAATTTTAGGTCAAATATAGGGAATTTGGAAAATAGTAGACAGTTTATTATTAATAAGAACCACTACTAGTGCACTATCTTTAAAACAATGTAAACTAGCAAATTTGAGATGCAGAATAAAGCCCAGAACCTACATCTAATTCTGAAAGCACCAAGAACATAAAAATCCAACTTACTACTGAATGTCAAAGTAGAAAATAAAGTGCTATAATTTTCTTTACTTTCCTATTAAAGGAGAATTTATCTAAATTCAAAAAACATGGTTTAAGAAGCAGTCTATTTAAACCATGTCTAAATTCATCTACTGAGGGTATAGTGTGAATGTTTTATCAACAAGGACATGATGATTCTTTTGTCTTCTTATACTACAATTTAAATTTTATTCTTTAATTTTCTGAAATGTGTCAAATACCAATAGCCTGTGGCTGCTTATAAAATATTTATGTAAAAAATTATTCAATAAAAAAAATCCAAACAGCAGCTGAGCTCATACATAATTTAGCAAATGGAAAACTACTTCTATTCATGTGCAGAGGCCAGACGACAGAGATGATACTCCCCTGAACCCTGAAGGCAAATGTAGAGCAAGAGAATTCTGGCAGAGAAAGAGGGGAGGAAGAAGCCAATACCAAATACAAATGGCCCTATTCTCTTTTATATAATATTCACATTTGGAGCCAGAAATGGGGTGACTTAGCTCGTCATTATTTCCAAAAAATGGCACATGTCCCAGCTACTTGTCTCTTAAATCTCTTTCAAGTAAATAAATAGTGTTTTTAGTCTTTTGGAGTGGGATGGATTTCCTCTGACCATTGGCTGAGAAGCAATCAGTCTGGTGTATGTGGCTCCACCCTGAAGCTTTGAGTAGAATAGCTTGGTAGATTTTTAATGGCACCTGGACTTGGATTCTTTTAACTACTGACTCTAGGCTTGAAATTCAATTCTAATTTACCAGTATGACAGCATAATTTTTATGAAGCTGCAATTCAGTATGTTTGTGACTCTATCCCTCTATTCACATGCAGAAGTAATGAGCTCTAATGTATTGCTCTTGCCAGATACACTGATGGCTGTGTGCAGGCTGTCCAAAAATGCAATGTCTCCCGTCTAGTGTTTCTCTTCCCTTATATACAGAAGTGAAGGCCTTGAGCAGATTACTCTTTCAGATGTATATAGGCCCAGGGAAACCAGGAGGTATTGATTGTATCAATAATTAGATTACAGGCACACAATTATACTATGGCCTAGCTATTCTGTATTCCAACAGGGATTTTATTTTTAATGTTTTGTATCTAACTTTTTGAATTTTGATGATGTTATTAGTTGTATTTTTAGCAATAAAAATAAATGGAATCTTGTTATTACAAAGATGAATAACCATGGAAAATAACTTCTTAGTCTCTAATGGCCAGGTTTATAATTACTCATTTGCACATTTGATTGGTCATTGTAACATAAGAAATGGTAAATGAATAATATTGGCTATAAAAACCTCAGAAGTAGACGCTTACCTTCTTTTTTAAAGAAGTGTATGTCTAATAAAACTGAAACATTACAGTTAGCTTGTGACTGCCTCCTGTTTTTCCCTGTATCTTTTCTTTGTGATTTTTGCTTTCCAGGGATGCAAGGCTTGAAGATAGAGCAGTTACACCCTCTTGCTCAGAATTCAAGTGTCATAGGTTGAGAGCATATATTTGGCTTTCATAAATAGTTAATATCCTCTAGGGATTGTATTTTGTGTAGTATACAGGCTTTAATATGAGAAAGAGAGACCCTTTCTACTCTCCTTCCCTATCAATCAAGTCATATTTCCCTCTTTCTGCACTCCAAGAAGGGATGCCCCATCTCAAATGCTGGGTAGCTCTATTTGATTATACATACTATTTTTATGTAATATTGCTGGTGACTTTGTCCCCAAAAGAGTATAAGTAGGAATATTTGTTGTCTCCACAGAATCAGGTGTACACTTTCTCTCCTTGTTTGAGAGGCACTTTTTCTTTCTCTTTTAAGAGAGGCACTGTGGCACTCTAACCCCCTCGCCAAATTCTCCCCTGCCTCAAGCCCTTTGCACTTATCCTAGATATCCATCTGGACCACCCCCTGTACTTCCTTCAGGTTTCTTTTCTTTTCTTTTTTATTTATTTATTTATTTTTTTGAGACGGAGTCTTGCCCTGTTGCTCAGGCTGGAGTGCAGTGTCATGATCTCCGCTCACTGCAACCTCTGTCTGCAGGGTTCTAGCGATTCTCCTGCCTCAGCCTCCCAAGTAGCTGGGACTACAGGTGCTCACCACCATGCCCGGCTAATTTTCATATTTTTATTAGAGATGGGGTTTCTCTATGTTGGCTAGGCTGGTCTTGAACTCCTGGCCTCATGTAGTCAGTCCGCTTCAGCCTCCCAAAGTGCTGAGATTACAGGCATGAGCCATTGCGCCCAGCCTCAGGTTTCTTTTCAAAGTTTTCCTTATTAGAGAGACCTTTGACCAAAATAGCAACTCGCCCTAAACCCAATATTTTTTATTCTGCTTATCCTTTTTAAATGCTTTTTCATGTAATTACCTGACATATTATTTCAAAGTTGCTTATTTCTTGTCTTCTCCCACCAGAATGTAAGCTCTTTGAGGACAAGAAGTTTGCCTGTAGTGCTGTATCTATCCATCATCTAACATAAAGTCTGGCACACAGCTGAAGCTCAGTATTTGTTAAACGAATAAGTGAATTAATGAATCAATGATTGCATCATATATCTGTTGAACATTTGATATGTGTCAGAGACTAAAGTGGATTCTGAGGACATGACTATAATACAAGAAACTTGTGCTCTGCCTTCAAGATGTTTATGGTCTGGTAGGCAAGAACGATGATGCCAGCTGCACCTCTTGTGAGTGCAGGGTAGGTTTATTCTCATTAACTTTATTCATTTATTTATTATTTTATGAGACAAGGTATTCCTCTGTCTCCCAGGCTGGAGTACAGTAGTACAATCATAGCTCACTGCAGCCTCCAACTCCTGGGTTGAAGAGATTCTCCCACCTCAGCCACCCAAGTAGCTAGGACTAAAGCCACACACTGCCACACCCAGCTAATATTTTAATTGTTTTGTAAAGATGGGTCTGACTATGTTGTCCAGGCTGGTCTGAAACTCCTGGCCTCAAGTGATCCTTCCACCAGGGTCTCCCAAAGTGTTGGGATTACAGATGTGAGCCACCACACCTGACCCCTACTAACTTTAACTTTAAATTATTTATTTAAGAATGTTGAATATTGGCCCCCAATATCCTCTGGCTTGTAGAGTTTCTGCTGAGAGTTCTGCTGTTAGTCTCACGGGCTTCCCTTGAGATAAAAGCTGGAGAAAGAGAGAAGCCAGTAGTGTGGCTCAGTCCAAGTCTGAAAGCCTCAAAACCAGGGGAGCCAACAGTGTAGCCTTCTCTCTGAGGCTAAAGGCCCGAGAACCAGGGGGAGGGGCTTCTGATGGGTGTCTCAGAGTCCAAAGGCCAAACAACTTGGAGGCTGATGTCCAAGGGCAGGAGAGGAAGCCAAGTGTCCAGCATGGCATGGGAAGAGAGAGAGTGGGAAGGTTCTCTCTCTTTCTTCCAGCTGAGCTGGCAGCCAATTGGATGGTGCCCACCCACGTTGAGGGTGGGTTTTCCTCTCCCAGTCCACTGACTCAAATGTCATTCTCCATTGGTAACACCCTCTCAGACACACCAGGAACAATGCTTCTTCAGCCATCTAGGCATCTCTCAATCCAGTAGAGTAGACACCTAATATTAACCATCACAGTTGACTTAATTTCTAATGTTATCATAATCACTACTCAACCCCTAGAAAAATATAAGAACTCCCTTTAGTCCACTGTGATTTTTATTTATTTTCATTCTATTTCCATATGCCCTAAGTTAGTCATCATTATTAATACTATTTTATATAGTCTATCATTATTTTGATTTGTTAGATGTTTAACAATTTATTTGTTCATAATTGCTTCTTGCCTTCCACTCCATCCTTTTGGATTCAACTTTCCACTTTCTAAAATATATCATTTAGTAATTGTTTTGCAAGGGTCTACAAACAGTAAACTCTTTAGTCATAGTTGTCTGAAAATTTCTTAATTTCTCAGTCAATTGTGGGTACTTTAGATATATAGAGAATTCAAGGTATACAGATTTTTTTTTCCTTTTTTCCTTTGGCACTTTTAAGATACTTTTTTGTTGTCTTCTTGCATTGCATTAGGGTGACCAACTTGTCTCAGTTTATGAAGACTTTCCTGATTTCAGCACTAAAAAGTCCGGAGACCTTGAAATCTTCTCAGTCTCAGGAAAACTAGAATTGTTGACCATCCCACCTTAAATGTTGCTGTTGATAAATCTGATAATTGTCTAATTTTTGTTTCTTGTAAATAATATGTATTTCTTTGTTGTTTTTACTTTTAATATTTTCTCTTTCATTTTAGCATTGCATTAAGTTGGTTGCCAGCATGCCGGGAACTGGGCAGAGGGAGGGGGCTAAAAGTGAGGGCATCTCCCTTTGCAGTATGTAAACTTTCTTTTAATTCTTCTGTTTTCAGCATGTGTCCTCAGTAGCGCCTGGCATCCACAAGTCCAGACTTGTCTGGTTTAACTTGCACTCTTCTGCCTGGTGAATTAGAAGTAGCCACTTGGCTACTTGGGTGTTAGAAGAGTATTTGGGGGATTTAATCTTACTTTTTAAAGATTTCCAACCAATTCTTCTTTGGTCTGCTGCTCTCCCTGTCTTTAGAGGTCCTGGTGCTCTTAATTACTTGACTTCCTGGGGTTCAGTAACTTGAATTACCTTGATTATTTTTCATTTCCTTTATTTTCCACCACTCTCTCTCTCACATCAACACCATAGGTTTGGATTTCTACTTTCTCCAGCTCAATAAATCAACTATCATTTATTGATCCTAGTTCTAGCTTCCAAAATTTTGTTGGCATTTATTGTCTTCTCTTCCATTGTCATGACCTTACATATTTAAGCCTTTAAAAAATTTTTCTTTACTTTCATTTTGGTCGGGTTTCAGAAGTAGAATAAGCGCTTGTGTTAAATCTGTCATGTTTTACCAAAATCTCAAGGACTATATATTTTTTTCTTTCTATAAGTTCCATTTAGATTTTGTAAAATCTCCACTTTTTTCTCTTAGGGTCTTATTTTCTTGGTATTTTCATAGGATATGTTTTGAATACTTTTAAATGTACTGATTTTATCATCTTTTTCTGGTTGCTCTTTCATCTCAAGTCATTGGGGGTGTAGCTGACCTTCTTTTTGTCTGTCTTTTGACATTCACTAATGATGGGTTGTGTGGGGCTTGGCTGCTTTTTGGTAATCCCATGTTATATATGTTATAGGAGTGTCCTTCGATAGTAGCTTTGTGTCCTGCACACATGGGAAGGACCTGCATGGACTAATTTCTAATGTTAATTTTTTGGCATGGGAATTCCTAGACTACGAGGGTTATATGATTCCAGTCCTTAGCTTGTGCGAGGTATAGAACCAGGGTTTTGATTTCTTAGTGACATATATGTTTTTTCACTGAGCGAAAGTCTTTCTGGCCTTCTCCCTGCTTCACTGAGGGGTGTCCCTTTGAGATTCTTGGTTTTACAGAGAGATTTTCAGTTTCAACTTTACCTCACATAGGCCTGAAGGAATTACCATCTACCTCTCCTTAGGAAGTGAAACTCAAGAGGATTATGGAGACTAATAAACATGCCTTGGACTATCACAGCATCTGCTCACATAATTACCACCCTAGTTTTCAGTTCCTGCTTTATTTCTGCACCTGGAGTTTACCCCCTTACTCCCACCAAGCTCAGACACACACTTTCATGGTTTTGCATTTTAAATGTCTGTGGAAGGAGGTCTCTATGTTTTCATGGCCTACTATCTTTCCACAATCCTGTTTCTTTGTTTTCTTCCAAAATACTGGTAGGTGGATGTAAAAAAATGCAAAGGCAGACAAAGAGCATGAGCAGCCACTCTAAATTGTCATAACTGAAACAAAAGAAGATGCCAGTTAGGTCCAAGATGGCAGCTTGGAAACATTGTTAGCATGCCTCTCTCACTTGGAAAGACAAAATAGTATGTAGACATTCATGCTGTGAACTTTTTTCCAGGAAGCAACACAGAAACTTAACAGGAAAACTGAAAGAAACCCCAGAACCTTTGAAAGAAGTGATGGGCTGCAACCTGCACTGTGAACCAGGCAGAAAATTGTTTAAGTCCCTAGAGTGGGAGAAGGGGATAAACTGCCTCTGGGATATATACTCCCACAGGGGAGCCAGGCAATCCAGGCCATGGGGGAAAGGCCTTAACCCTACTCAATGCTGCAGCTGACTTAGTGAGTGGTAGGGAGAAGATGAGGAGCGGCATCAGGACATGCTTTGCGTGCACTCTTAGACTCCAGTAGGGATGGAGGGAAGCCATTCCTGATCCTACTTCTCAGGGGACCTTGTGGAAGTCCGCCAGCTAACTCAGGCAGTGGTTATAGGTTGAGAGAAGCTCCCAACTGAGATTTGTAATATAATCTCAAGCAGGGATAAACTACCGTGGCCAGAACTGAGGGGTGAATGGGAAGTGGGCTGTAGCCAGGGGCACAGGAGGTGGGTGCTCCTGTTTCACGAGCAGACTGGGAACTGCATGGCTTGAAAGCCACGGTTTCTGTCTCCATGGGGAAGGCTTATGGCCTGGGGCAGATTTGAGTTCTGAGCACAGACTGCCCGGAACCTAGCTAGCTGCTGCTAGTGGAACACTGTGGTGTGAGACTTGCCTTGCCAAGTGCATGCCTGTTACTCCCCACTCCCTGGGTGGACATTTCTGTGCAGCAGAGGCAGCTGTGCTCCTCCCTGGAACATTACTCCAGTGGCTAGGGAACTGCCCTCCTATCCCCACTGGGACTGCTGCTTGCCCCACATGACTGGAGCCAGTGTGGACTTGCCTGACCTAGCTCCTATCTGACTTTGCCCCTCCACCGCTCCTGGTAGCATAACACAAGCGACAGAAGTTTTGGGAGCTTTATGCCCTGCCCATTGCCTGAGACACCAGAATGCTTCCCCTGGGTGATATAAGGCAAGCACATATTCCACTCCTGCCACCAGAGCTGGTGCTCTTTGGCAAGTGCCACCTCTTGGCTGGAGGCCAACTGACACAGTCCATTACAGCATCTGCAGGCACAACAACATTGCACCTAAGAAGGAGGAAACTTGTGTACGATCATAGCTTATCACTATTGCCTGCATGAACCTTGCTAGCCAGGAGGTCCTGAGTCTGTCCATGTGACCAATTCATTACTACTACAACCATTATTTGAGGAAGCCAATGAACTAAGGCTATTTATAACCAAAGAATTTCAGAGTCTGCATCACTCCCCTGCCACCCCCATCAGAGCTGGTGCTAGTACCTGCTTCTGGGAGACTAGAGGACAGGTCACATCTCTGGATCCCTTGCAGAAATTCCCCAGTACCAGCCTGGAGTGTGGCAGTACCATTGGGTGGCTAGACCCAGAGGAACAGCAGGATTCACAGTAGTCTGGTCCTCAAGGACTCCTACTTCTAGGGGAAGGGGGAATGTAGTACATCAAGGGAGCACCCTGTGGGACATTATAATCCAGAGGGCAGGACTTGCTTTTCTGAACTTTCTGCTTGTGGGAAGATTTTTTCAACAGAGGCAAAGGTGCAGTGCTGGGCTCAGTGGGGAAAGTCTGTGGCTCTTCCCCAACAGTCAGGCAGCCTGGTGTTCATGAAAGGTCTTGGAAAAGGGTCTTCTTATTTCCCTCACCCACCACTGCAGAAACAGCTCACTGGGGCTTCTCCCATGGGATCTCAGCATGGGTGCACCTGTAGACAGCCTCTTTGAAACACTGCAGAGTGATTGCATCCCCATAGGAGGAGTGTCCTCCAAGTTCAGGCTTGTATAAAGGTTAGAGTCATAATCCTTCTCTACAAAGAACATCAGCATTCCTACAGATAAAAAGAGGCACTTGTCTGATCTGAATAGCCAAACATTGGGTCAAGGGTGTGACTGGGAGGCAGATTACTGGCTTGGTAGGGGAGCTGAGGTGGTTCTCTCCTTTCTGCCTGAAAATACCTCAGTCTGTTTCACTAAGAGCTCCCTGAGCTGCCTCTGTCAAGTCTGGAACCTCTGTCCACCACTGAATATGGCATTTACCCATCTGCTTTAACCACAGCTGATTTTTACCCATAAACACCTCCCCTAGTGGGCTGAAGCCTGAACTGTTCAACTCAGTAAATAAAATCCTGGCGGGTAGAGGGGGAGAATAAATAAATAAATGCACACCACTGGGGAATAAGATAAACTTCAAGAGAACTCTGCCCTTTCAACCACACAGGAAACAATGAACCTGCTCATACACTGAGCACATTGTCACTACAACCAGCAGCTGAAAAGGCCATAATATAAAGACTCTCTATAAACAAGGAACTCATACAGAGTCTTCATCCCTGAAAGCACCCAGAGCCAAATTAGGTTACTATAAACCACAATCATTAAAAATATACCCTCAAAGGGAGAAAAAAGAAATAAAAAAAAACACAGCCAAATTAAAAATAAACTTAAAAATAATTAGAAGAAATAGTCTACCAATATAAAAAGGAACCAGAAAAATAATTCTGGCAACATGACCAAACAGGATTCCATAACATACCCAAAAGATCATACTAGCTCTCCAGCAATGGACCTAGGCCAAGATGAAATATTTGACATACCAGGTAAAGAATAGGTTGATTATTAAGTTACTCAAGGAGATACAAAAGAAAGGTGAAATTCAACATAAACTAAAAAAAAAAACAATTCAGGATATGAATAAGAAATTTTCTAAAGAGATAGATATTGTAATGACAAACCAACCAGAACTTCTGGAAATGAAAGACACATTTAGGGAATTACAGAATGCAGTAGAAAGTTTTAATAATAGACTAGGCCAACTAGAAGGCAGAATTTCAGAGCTTGAAGATAAGCCTTTAAAATTAACTCGATCAAACAAAAATAAAGCAAAAAGAATTGAAAGAAATGAGCAAAGTCGCCAAGAAATTCAGAATTAATGTAAAATGGCCGAACCTAAGAATCACTGGTGTTCCCAAGGGAGAAGAAAGGCAAAAAGTTTTAAAAACTTATTTGAGGAAATAATTGAGGAAAACTTTCTTGGTTATGCTAGAGATTTAGACATCTATCTAAATATAAGAAGCTCAAAGAACTCTTAGGAGATTCATTGCAAAAAGGACATTTCCAAGGCATATAGTAATCAGGCTATCTAAAGTCAATGTGAAAGAAATAATTCTAAGAGCAGTGATAGAAAAATATCAGGTAACCTATAAAGGCAAATGTGTCAGACTAACAGCAGACTTGTCACCAGAAACATTAGAAGCCAGAAGAGACTGGAATCTTTAGCCTCCCTAAACAGAGTAATTGTCAGCCAATAATTTTGTGTTCAACAAAACTAAGTTTCATAAATGAAGTCTTTTTCAGACAGGCAAATGCTGAGGGAATTTGTCACTACCAGACAAGGCCTACAGAAAATGCAAAGAGGAGTTCTAAATCTTGAAACAAAAAGTCAATATGCACCAGAATAGAACCTCTTGAAAGTATAGAACTCACAGGGCCTAGAAAACAATAACACAATAAAGAAAACAAAGTATTTAGATAACAATCAATATGATGACTGGAACAGTACCTCACATCTCAATAGTAATATTGAATTTACATGGTCTAAATGCACTACTTAAAAGATACAGATTGGCAGTGTGGCTAAAAATAATCACAAACCAAATATCTGCTGTCATGAAGAGACTTACCTAACACAAGGATTTTTATAGACTCAAGGTAAAGGGATGGAAGAAGATATTCCAAGCAAATGGAAACCAAAAATGAGCAGAAGATGCTATTCTTTTAGCAGTTAAAACAAATTTTAAAGCAACAAAAGTAAAAACAAAAGACAGTCATTATATAATGATAAAATGATCAACAAGAAGATATTATAACCTGTAATATATAACAACCTATAATATATAACATATATATTGTATATTATAGGTTATAATATCTTCTTGTTGAATTGATATATACTGATATATGTTAACAGTTCAGCATATACTGATATATAGTATATGCTATATACAGTAGTTCAGCATATACTATATATGCCGTATTTGTTATGTACTGTAGTTCAGCATATACTATATATATGCTGTATATGCTATATACTGCATATATAGTATATGCTGAACTGAGCATATAATATATATGATATATATAACTTAACCTAATAAGTAACATATATATGTTATATATATATATATATATATATATAAAATATAACCTAACTATAACCCAACTCTATAGCTCCCAGATTTATAAAACAATTACTACTAGACCTAAGAAAAGAGACAAACAGCAACACAACGATAGTGGAGGACTTCAACACTCCACTGACAGCACTAGGCAGATCATTTAGGCAGAAAGCCCACAAAGAAACTCTGGCCTTAAACTGCACTCTAGAACAAATGGATCTAACAGATATTTACAGAACATTCTACCCAAGAGCTTCAGACTACATATTCTTCTCAGCACACGGAGCATTCTCTAAGATAGACCACATGGTAGGCCACAAAACAAGTCTTGATAAATCTTGAAAAAATCAAAATTATATCAAGTATCTTCTTAGACCACAGTGGAATAAAACTATTATTCAACTCCAAAAGAAACCTGAAAATTGTGCAAATACATGGAAATTAAACAATCTGCTCCTGAATAATTTTGGGGTTAACAATGAAATCAAGATTGAGATTGAAAACTTCTTTGACATGAATGATGATAATGACACAAATTATCAAAATTTCGGACACAGCAAAAGCAGTGCTAAGAGGAAAGTTTATACTGCTAAACACCTACATCAAAAAAGTCTGAAAGATCACAATTTGACAATGTAACATCACACTTCAAGGAGCTAGAAAAACAAGAACAATGCTAGCAGAAGAAAAGAAATAAAGATCAGAGCAGAACTAAATGAAATTGGAGCAAAAAATACAAAAGATCTGTGAAACAAAAAGTTTGTTTTTAGAAAAAATAAAATCAATAGACCATTAGCTAAATTAACTAAGAAAAGAGGAGTGAGGATTTAAATAAGCTCAATTAGAAATGAAAGTAGAAACATTGCAACGGACACCACAGAAATACAAAAGATCATTCAAGACAACTATGAACACCTCTATGCACACAAAATAGAAAATCTAGAGGAAATGAATATATTCCTGGAAACATACAACCCTCCCAGCTTGAATCAAGAAGAAATAGAAATCCTGAACAGACCAGTAACAAGCAGTGAGATTGAAACAGTGACAAAAGAAATTGCCAACAACAGCAAATAAAGCCCAGGGCCACATGGATTCACAGCTGAATTCTACCAGACATTCACAGTAGAATTGATACCAGTCCTACTGAAATTATTCCAAAAAATTGAGAAAAAGAGAATCCTTCCTAACTCATTTTGTAAAGCCAATATCATCCTGATACCAAAGCCAGGAAAGGACATAACCAAAAAAAAAATAAAAATAAAAAATAAAAAAAGAAAACTACAGACTGATATCCCTGATGAATATAGATGTAAAAATCTTCAACAAAATACTATCAACCTAATCGAACAACATATCAAAAAGATAATTCACCATGATCAAGTGCATTTCATCCAAGCAGTGCAGGGATGGTTCAACATATGCAGGTCAATAAATGTGATTCACCATGTAAACAGAATTAAAAAAACAATAACCATATGATTATCTCAATAGACACAGAAAAATCATTCAATAAAATCCAGCATTACTTTATGATAAAAACACTCAACAAACCATGCATAGAAGGGTACCTCAAAATAATAAAAGTCATGTTTGTCAAATTCACAGCTAACATCACATTGAATAGGGAAAAGTTGAAATAATTCCCCCTAAGAACTGGAACAAGACAAGGATGCCCACTTTCATGACTTCTATTCAACATAGTACTGGAAGTCCTAGCCAGAGCAATCAGGCAAGATAAAGAAATAAACGGCATCCAAATTGGAAAAGAGAAATCAAACTATCTCTGTTTGCCCATGATATCACTGTATACATAGAAAACCCTAAAGACTCCTCCAAAAGACTCCTAGGTTTGATTGAATTCAGTAAAGTCTCAGGTTACCAAATCAGTGTACACAAATCAGTACCATTTCTATACACTAACAACCACCACGCTGAGAATGAAACCAAGAACTCAGTCCCTTTTACAATAGCTATTATTAAAAAAACCATAGGAATATACTTACCGAAGGAGGTGAAAGATCTCTCCAAGGAAAACTACAAAACTGCTGAAAGAAATAATACATGACACAAACAAATGAAAATACATCCCATGCTCATAGATTGGAAGAATCAATATCATGAAAATGACCATACTGCCCAAAGCAACCTATAGATTCAATGCAATTCTTATCAAAATATCAACATCATTTTTCACAGATTTAAAAAAAAATCCAAAAATTCATACAGAACCAAAAAAGACCCTGAACAGCAAAAGCAGTCCTAAGGAAGAACAAATCTGGAGGCATCACATTACTTGACTTCAGGTTATACTACAAAGCTGTAGTTACCAAAATAGCACGGTACTGATATAAAAGTAGATACATAGCCCAATGGAACAGAATAGAGAACCCAGACATAAAGCCAAATACTTAAAACCAACTGGTCTTTGACAAAGCATTCAAAAACATAAATTGGGGAAACAATACTATATTCAGTAAAGGGTGCTGTGATAAATGAATAGCCACATGTAGAAGAATGAAACTGGATCCCTATCTCCCTAAGACCCTACATGGTCTTTAATCTAAGACCTAAAAACCATAAAAATTCTTGAAGGAAACCTAGGAAAAACTTTTCTGGACATCGGCCTAGGCAAATAATTTATGACTAGGAACCCCAAAGCAAATGCAACAAAAAACAAAATAAATAAAGGGGACCTCATTGAACTAAAAAGCTTCTGTGCAGCAAAAGGAATAATCATCAGAGTAAACAGACAACCCACAGAATGGGAGAAAATATTTGCAAACTATGCATCTGACAAAGGACTAATATCCAGAATGTACAAGGAACTCAAGTCAGCAAGCAAAATAAATAAATCATCCCATCAAAAAGTGGGCAAATGACATGAACAGACACCTCTTAAAAGAAGATATACAAATGGTGAAAAAAGATTAGAAAACATGCTCAACATCACTAATCTCCACGGAAGTGCAAATTAAAACCAGTGAGATTCCACCCTACCCCAGTCAGAATGGCCATTATTAAAAAGTTGAAAAAAGAAAAGAAAAGAAAACAGACAAACAAAACAAAGGTGTTGGCATGGATGTAGTGAAAAGGGAACACTCATACACTGCTGGAGGGAATGTAAATTAGTACAACCTCAATGGAAAACAGCATGGAGATTTCTCAAAGACCCAAAAGTAGATTTATCATTCGATCCAGCAATCCCACTACGGAGTATCTTCCCAAAAGAAAAGAAGCCATTATATATATTTTTATATAATGCACACATATGTTTATCACAGGACAACTCACAATTGCAAAGATATAGGACCAATGTAAGTGCTAATTCACTGTTGAGTGGGTCAAGAAAATGTGGTATATATATATATATATACATATATATATATACACATATATATACGTATATATATGTATATATATACGTATATATATATGTGTATATATATATATATATATATATATACACACACACTATGGAATACTACTCAGCCATAAAAAGAACAAAATAATGTCTTTTGCAGCAGCTTGGATGGAGCTGGAGGCCACTATTCTAAGTGAAGTAACTCCAGAATGAAATATCACACACTGTATGTTCTCAATTGTAAGTGGGAGCTAACCTATGGGCATTCAAAGGCATGCCGAGTGGTATAATGGATATTGGAGACTCAGAACAGGGGAGAGTGGGAAAGGAGTAAGGAATAAAAAACTGTATATTGGGTACAATGTACACTACTTGGGTGACAGGTGCACTAAAATCTCAGACTTCATCACTGTACAATTCATCCATGTAACCAAAAGCCACTTGTACCCCAAAAGCTATTGAAATAAAAAAATTATTTAAAAAGAAGATGTCTTTTATGCAAAGAAACATAAACTATTTTCTGAGAAAGATAATTTAACGGGAAAGATGCACTAAAAAACTACCAGGAATCAGAAGGAATCTATTTTAGATAAGCAGTTATCAATTTAGGCAACATGTTACTAAATATCTCAGTTTCCTGGAATGTGCTTATAAACACTAGGAAAAACTTGTGATATTGTTTGCATTACAAATCTGTCAGCTAATTAAAAGAATGCTACCACTGTAGTCACTGTGTTAAATTAAGTAAAAACAAATAGAAATGCACATAATTTCATTCAGAACAGAAGACATGGAAAAGTGTTATCTTGACTGTTATGAAGAATATTACCAAGTTTCTGCACTTTCCCCCACTTCTTTTACTTAAAAATGTCATTTTAACAATGTAAAGATATGCCATTTGGACATTCTGTGAACTTATGTACATTCTAAAAACTTATGAGAGAAAAAAATTAATGTGGAATATCAAAGCTTCACCCTCTCCAAACAAAATTTATGAAGCAGAGATTTAGGATAAAGATGTTGCATTAATTCTCTATTACTACTGTAACATATAATTAGATTTAGTGGCTTAAAACAGCATGAATTTGTTATTTTACAGTTGCATATGTTAGAAAACTGACATGGGTTGTTCTAGGCTAAAATCAAGGTATCAACAGGGCTGTTCCTTTTTGGAGGTTCTAAGAGGTAATCTTTTTTTTTTTTTTTTTTTTTTTTTGCCTTTTTCATCTTCTAGAGGCCTCCTGCATTCCTTGGCTCAAGTCCTCTTGCTATTTCCATCTTCAAAGTCAGTAACATTGCATTTCTAAGATCAGTCTTCCTTAGTGACATTTACCCCGACTGACCTCTTCTACTTTCCTTTTCCGCCTTAAAGAACCCTTGTGATATTGTGATATGAGAAATACATATTTGGTCTTCTGTTCCTAGCAGAGAACTCCTAAAACTCTTGGAATTTCCTAAGTGATAAGAGCCATAAAGGTGAAAGGAGCATTTTCCGTTATTTATGACAATCTCACATGAGTTTATGTTAATGAGATGACTTTTAGAAAGTCCCTAAGAATGGGGAGCTGGTTGCCAGAGGGCTTACCCATATGATTCGAGGTTTGGAGCTTTCAGCCCCTCCCTGAGCCCCACCTCCAGAGGTGTTAGAGATTGGGTTCGATCACCAGTAGCCAACGAGTTAATCAATCGTGTCTACATAATGGAACCTCCATAAAAACTCTAACGGAAGGAGTTTGGAGAGCTTCCAGGTTGGCGAACACATGGAGGTGCTGGGAGGGTGGTGTGTGCCCAAAAAGGGCATGGAAACTCCATGCCTCTTCTCATACCTTGCCCTGTGCAGCTCTTCCATTTGGCTACTCTTGAATTATATCCATTATAATAAAAATACAATGTCGTACTCATGTAAGTTTGTACTTTTGCCAAGCATAAGTAAATGTTTCTCTGAGTTCTGTGAGCCATTCTAGCCATTTATCAAACCTAAGGAATTATGGAACCTAAGGAGGATGTCATGGAACTCCTGATATACTGCTGATTGGCCAGAAACATGGGATACCCATACTTGAAATTGGCATCTGAAGTCAGTGCAGTCTCATAGGACTGAGCTCTTCACTTGTGGGATCTGACGCTAATGCCAAGTAGACAGTGTCAGAGTTGAATTGAATTGTAGGACACCCAGCTGACACTCAGAGAACTGAAGAATTGCTTAGTGTGGGGGAGACCCACAAATTTGGTGTCAGTGTTTGTGAGTATAGAATGAGTTTCTTTTTTCTTTTAAATTTTGTGATTACATTGGGCACCCAGATAATTCAGATAGTCTCTTGAGTTTAAATTCAGTTGATGGAGGCTTAAATCCAACTGCAAACTTAATTCCCTGTTACCATAAAATCTGATATAATCACAGGTTTTAGGAATTAGGAAATGGATACCTTTGAGGGTCCATTATTCTACCTACCACAGATAGTGAGTAATATTTTGAACATTTTGAGTTTAAGGTCTCTGTGGTATATCCAAGTGGAATTTCTTATATGGAGCTGGAAAGAGGAATCCAGTGCCAAGTTTAAAAAAGTGTTATCTAATGATATAGATTTAAGGAGGTATTGATATATTCATAGTTGGAGCTGTGGAGTATGGAGGAGTCCCTGAGGGAAGGATGATCAGACTGAGAAGAAAAAAGTGGTCAGGGAGGGGGAAAGTCAAGAATAGAACATAGGAAAAGGGGAGAAACTTAGAGGAGGGGCAATATATACATTTTTGAGGGCAGGCTGAGAAATTTAAATAAGTCACTGATTTATTATTATTATTATTATTATTATTATTATTATTTTGAGACGGAGTTTCGCTCTTGTCGCCCAGGCTGGAGTGCAATGGTGCAATCTTGGCTCACTGCAACCTCTGCCTCCCAGGTTCAAGTGATTCTCCTGCCTCAGCCTCCCGAGTAGCTGGGATTACAGGCGCCCGCCACCATGCCTGGCTAATTTTTTGTATTTTTAGTAGAGATGGGGTTTTGTCATGTTAGCCAGGCTGGTCTCAAACTCCTGACCTCAGGTGATCCACCCGCCTTGGCCTCCCAAAATCATTATTATTTTTTGAGACAGGGTCTCACTCTGTGCAATGGTTGGAGTGCAATGGTGTGATCTCTGCTCACTGCAACCTGAGCCTCCTGGGCTCAAGTGAACCTCCCACCTCAGTCTCCCTAGTAGCTGGAACCACAGGCATGCATCACCACGCCCAGCTAATGTTTTTTTTTTTTTTTTTTTGTATTTTTTTATAGAGATGAGGTCTCACTGTGTTGCCTAGGCTGGTCTCGAACTCATGAGTTCAAGTAATCCGCCCACATTGGCCTCCCAAAGTGCTAGGATTACAGGCGTGAGCCATCGTGCCTGGCCAGGAATTCACTGATTTTTAAAAATTTAACATGTAAGTAGTGGCTCACATCATCTGCTATAAGATACAGAAGCAAAAATCCTGAGGTGACTGATGAAGGTTTGAAATGGTCACCGAGGGCTGAAGGAAAAGGAACAGACTAAGGATGAGTTAAAAGGCCCGGTGAAGCGGCCCATACCTGTAATCCCAGCACTTTGGGAGGCCAAGGTGGAAGGATCACTTGAGGCCAGGAGTTCAAGGCTACAGGGAGCTATGATCGCATCACTGCACTTCAGCCTGGGCAACAGAGCGAGACCCAATCTCTAAAAACAACAACAACAAAGGATTGCTGAGTTGTTCCTGGAGCTTAGCTGAACTTATTCTAATATTCTTCTGAGGATTTTAGAAAATTCTAAATTCAAATTTTAGAAAACTAAAATTCTCTAAAAAGAATAGAAATGCTTGATAATTAATTGTAAATCTATGTATCTCATTCTTTCATGATGAGAGGAATGTGTATATTAGTACTACTCATGAATTAGATCACAATTTGTAGCCTTGTTTTATATTTTTAAAAAACCATTCTATGGGTGTGGTGACACATGCCTGTAATCCCAGCTACTCAGAAGGCTGAGGCATGAGAATCGCTTGAACCCAGGAGGCAGAGGTTGCAGTGAGCCGAGATTGTGCCACTGCACCCCAGCCTGGGTTACAAAGGTGAAACTGTCTTAATAAGACAAAACAAAAGAAAACAAAAACAAAAAACAAAAACAAAACCCCACAAAAGCAACAACAACAAAAAAAACCATTCTGAATTTTAAACAACTAACTAAGAAGCAAACTTTGGCACATGACCCGCTAACGATTCTTCTATCTTTTAATATCCATTATTATCTGGTCCCACTTATTATCCAACCTTATTTTTTACTCTGTAACGTCTGTCTGGCTTCTAACTAGCTCTTACTGACTTACTTTTTGGCCTCCAATTATGATCTTCTTCTGATATCTGAAATTCCAGTCCTCTCTCTTGTGCTTCCTCCAATAGTACTTATCCTTAGAGACTGTGTGCATCGTTCACCCGTAATGACCAGTCTATCTCACTTCTTTGAATTCCTGTGTCCCTTATACCTGCACCACCATCTAAGGGATCCCTTAACTGTGAGTTAACTTATGTCATTCTCTATAGCTCCTAATGCATTAGGTTGCTCAGAGGTCCCATTCACTCATTTTTATTATCTTTTCTGTGCCACACCTTCTGTAACCCAGTGCTGTATATAAAGTCATGTTCAAAACACATGTAGTCCTTATTTTTACTTCTGAATCTTCCACATCACAAAATGCACTACAGAATCTATAACAGGCACCTAATAATACATGCTATTTATTATGACATGATGCAAGATATTTGTCAAGGCTACTAGACCTGATGCTGATGTTGAAGTCTGGAGTAAAAATCCAGGATTCCTCTGTACTAGGTATACTAGAATGTGCTTTTTCTTGAAAATTCTTTAGTAAGTCCAAGCTGCTTTCCAGAGAACAAAGAGATGCTGAGTGGGAGAAGACTGATTTTAGGCTTGGAACATAAATGCTTCAGGTGATAACAGACATTTGTCCAACTAATGAATGGGCAGAGAAACCAAAATACAGGCTGCAAAAGATTCTGAAATTGCAGGTCACCATGCTGAGAGAGTACAGAAGGGAGCATTCTGGCTTTCCTGGAAACTAAAAGACACCCCAAGTCTGTAGCAATTTATTGTAAACTTGAAGGCACCTACTGAGCTGTTTTATATGTAGAAATAATATAGTTTATGGAGGTCCTGGGACCCACTCAAGGTGAAATTAAACAGATTTTAAAACTTCCTGCTTAGAATTTGTTGTGTAAGATGGGGGAAGGGGAGAATGAACCAATGGACTTACGACTTACATTACGAACATTAGGGTCTTTTTCCTCCTATGGACAAAGAGTGGAGAAAATCTGTTCTGAGATCAATAATGGCTCTTTCCTCTACATGCAAAATAACATTGTTACATGTGCCTGTGGGTGTGTGTATGGTGTGGGGATGCTAACTCTGTATTGGGGTGAATGTTAACTGGCAGGGACTACGTAATTATGGGACTAATAAACAGATTAAATATGATTCTGGGATGAGAATTTTTATGAAAGACAAAATGAAAAGGGACACAATGAGTGAAGGAGTTGAAAGAATAACTTTTTCCTGGATCACTTTCTCCTTGTATTTCTGTTTTTCTTCACTTTTCTCATGCCCAGTTGAAAGCATCTAAATTTCTGTGGGAGAGGAAGTGGGGCAGAAGAGGGCCACGGACAGGGAATTTGGAGTTAGTCAGGAGAAGCTTGTGCAGCAGCCTGGAGAATTTGACCAAGCCTGGAAGGTTTGGGAGAGATGAGTTCAAGTGTTCAGTGGCGAGTTCAAGTGTGTTCAGTGGTAAGTTCAAGTGTTTGGTGGATATAGGAATACTGGATGCGGGAACAAGCCCGGAGCCTTGGAGACCTTCGGGGAGAGAAATTTCATCCTGCACCTGCAGATGATCACTGTTGAACTAGCCATAAAGAGACTGGGACTTCATTTGATACTCAGAATAACTCTGCAAGGAACAGATTAGCACTATTTCTATTTTTCAGACAAGGCAGCTGATTCCTAAAGTGACACTTGGCTAGATGGGGAAATCAGGAGGTGAGCCTCACTTTTTAAAATATACAAGCCCCTTTCTCTTTCCACCAACGCATATGAACTCATGTAATATCCATAGGTGGAAAGAAGAAGAAATTTTGAGTTAGATGGTTTGACCTGGGCAACCTTCACATCTTCCATGATTTCATCTCTACCCAAGGCTTCACTTAATCTAGGTTTGACTTGTCTTCTGAGGTCCATATTTAAAGTTATGACTATCTGTTGGGATCTCCACCTGGATAACTTTCCCCTGAATCAGTTTTTTCGCATATCTCCTGTTCCTCACTAAAGATTTTCTAGGACCCAGGTTTAAAAGCTTAGAGTTGCCTTTGACTCCTCCCTACCCCTTTCACTTCACCGGCATACCTATCAATTATTTATCTCGAAGTTTTTCAGAATTATCCCTTCTTTTCTCCTCCTCCTCCTCCTTTTTCTCTTTTACCACTTTACCTATAATTGTGACCCTCATTACTTCTCCCCTGGACAGTTGTATAATCCCCCTACTTGGTATCCTTAATTGCATCCCCTTCAACTTTCTTTAATTCATCATAAGCCTCATTGACAAATGGATTACTCTGAGTTTCAGCTTCAGACATATAGCTTTTCTACTCAGAAACCTTGAATAGCTCCCCATTGTTTAGTAAACTAAGTACAAACTCACCAAATTTAATAGATAATATTTATTGAGCATTTACTATATTCCAGGCACTGACCAAAGCACATGAATTCTTTCATTTAGTCCTCAAAACAACCTATGAGATAGGCCTTTCTATTGTTCTCACTGTACAGAAAAGGTAATTGAGGACCCGGGCTACTAAATAACTTGCCCAACACACAACAAAAATGTAACTCAACCCAGGCACCTGATTTCAGAGCCAGCACATGATGTTGCCATTCCAATTTAGTTGCCACTTTTTGGAGGTGAAGATTAGGCTCATAGTAGCCAAATCTATACATATAATGTTCAAAAATGTCTTCTAAATGTCATTTATGATTTTTTCCCCGCCTAAAACCCAAAGTGTAAAATTCTACTTATCTTTAAAGACCCATTCCAATTCTATCTACTTCATAACATTGGTTACGGTCCCTCCAACAGATGTGGCCTCCTCCTCCTTTGAATCAAATAACATAATAATTTGTTCACTTCATCTTTTGCCCCTTGTTAAATGCCCTTCTCTTCTGAGGCAGGAGCTGTTTTCTTACCCATACATTTTGAAGTGCATTAAATTGGATGGTTGGATACAAAGTTCCCAGAAAAACTGCCGCGGCTCCAGGTATCAAATTCTGTGCCCCATGTCTATGCAGATCTTAATCTATACACAGTTTAGAGCTGAGGGCCCCTGAGCAGAGTAGATGGGTTACAGACCATCCAGGCCATAATCTGTTGGGGCTTCTGCCAGTGTAAACAGATGATTATTGGAGGATAAACTTTGGCTATATGAGTCTAGTTTTAAAGGACTAAAAAAAGGAAAGGGCCTCCCTAAACTAAATAACTTTGCTTTAGTTAGAAAGTCTAAGCTAATTGTTTTCAAAGCCCTTTCTAATCCTTCTAATTAGGCACAGGATCGTCTCCAACTTTTTTTCTTGATTTTGTCTCTGAGTGACACATTGAAAGTTAATTTCAGGGCAGAGTCAAGTTTTACACTTCAATTTACAATGTACAAAAAACTTAATTGACAAATAATGTTGACTGAACTGGAATATTGAGGAGTTATCTTAGTGATTCAGACTCAAGTTAATCTTTCACCAGAAATGTCAAAACAAAACAAAATACGAACCACGGGGTCATGTGTACTGACTCTTGAGATGCTAGGATTCTGGTGCACTCCTTGGAGCTCAAACACACAAAACTGAAAAGAAATAGAAAGAATCCCTACTTGATTATTAATTCAAGTAGTATTTATAGAGTACCTACGATGTGGTAGGGATGGCATACAACACTAGAAATACATTGCCGAATATAAAATATCAGATCCCTGACCTCCTCAGTTTACAGTGTTCACTGTGCGTAACATTGGACTGACAGAAGCACTAGCTTACCTTAGTATGGAAGTGCTTGTGTTCTCTTGTTCCTTTTTTTTTTAATGGAATGAGTCAGCTGTTCGGTCCTCCACTGAAGCCTGAAGTTAAACTTTCTAATCTTTAAATTTGTATGGTTATTTACACATATCCATTGATTTTCTTCTTCAATTACACCAATTTTCACGATGATTATCCCCCAGAAAGTTAAGAATCTTGTAGGTGCCAATCACTACGTTTAAAATAAGTTGAGCTAAACACGTATTCTGAGGTTTTCAACAGTTTTATTTTAAAAAATTGTTTAATGTGTCCTGAGCTGCTCTTTAATGCAGCCGTCAGTAGATGGCAGCACATTACTCTTTGCTCACTCTTCATGGGTTCAGGGGAAAGGAGAGAAGAGAGAGCGAGAGAGAGCGAGCGAGAGAGCGAGAGAGCGAGAGAGAGAGAGAGAGAGAGAGAGAGAGGAGAGGAGAGAGAGGAGAGGAGAGGAGGGGAGGGGAGGGGAGGGGAGAAGAGGGGAGGGGAGGAGAGGAGAAAGAGGGAGAGAGAGAGAGGCTTTTCAACACACCCTGTTTTGGAAAGACAGCTCTAACTAGATTACAGAGGAACAGTTTCCATATCTAATCCTCACTATCTCAAAGATGTTGCTTTAATTCTACACACTATTTTGTATTTGTAGTGCCTTTATTTTAAATTCCATACACATTATCTCATCGTCAATATGCCATTATATGTACCATATTAGCTTTATTTAGATTTTCAGTAATATAGGTCGAATGTAGCTTTTTGTGATTAAACAGCCCCATTAAAAGACGAAAACTCTGAGTAATGTGAACTCATTTTGGAAAGCTGTCTCTGAGCCGATATTGAACATTAGGGATCAGAGGACTAGGGAGAAATTGTCTTTGTTATGTCAGCTTTCAGTATTACCGCACCTCCTCAGAATGAAGCAGAAATAAAAATCACTACTCTATTATTCAGCCATTTTGACCTTGTACCTTTCCAAGGATTTTTATCCATGCCAGTGTTTTGAGAGAAAGGGGAAATGTTTGCACTTTAGACAAACTCAGAATAATTCTGAAGGCATGTGAACCGCTTAGCTTTCAACACAAAAAGGCTTCTAAGCTTCCGAAAATGTGCAAAAACAAGTAATCAGTTCAATCCAACAAATACTTATTGTTCATTTCTTTAATTATGCAACAAACATTTTTTGACTGTTGTTCTTTAAAAGGTATTATGCTGGGTGCTGTAGAAATACCAAATGAGCATGACATACTTCCTGCCCTCAGGTAATTGTTCTAAGGCAGAGAGAGTAAGGCATATATACAAACAAATATAAGGCGTATGTTCAATAAACACTTGTTACATGATTGAATGGCCATAAGACAGCTGTAAAAATGTGCTATGGGATTTCAAAGAGGGAAATCATGTATACAGGTTAGAAAAAGGTACATGGAAGACATGGTCCTGACATGGCTTTAGAAGAAAGATATAATTGAGGGGTCAGGGAGAATGAGGGCACTCTAGGTGATTGGAACACCAGGAACACAAAAAGGAACTGTCCTTATGAAAGGGCAGTTAGTCCAGTTTGGCAGGAGGCTAGATCAGGCATCAGCCTCCCACTTAAAGAATCAACAAGACACACCACGGGACATAACCTCTTGGCAGCACATTTACCAAAGCAGAAGTTAAGGCACAGAATTCTACAACCAGAACTTTAACCAGACCCTCCAGGGTGGACTTCGACATTCAGAGCCCAGTCCCTTGTGTGGTACAGGCAAGCTCCTTGTTTTTTCTTAGCAACCAATAGATAACAATTTTTATTTATTTAGAACAATGACTTTTTAAAAAGGCAAATATTTATTATTTAAAAATTCAAGCAATTCTGAAAAATATGAATTTTAAAAATAGTCTAAATTTCACCACGTAGGAAATAATTTCAGACCTCTTTCTTGCATATATACAGATGGAGGGCTGGCTGGCTAAGAATAATTTTGCAAAAATGAGACCATACTGTTCATGCTAATTTTACATTAAAGTATTAAATTTAATTATACTTGAATTTTCAAAGAAGAAAAAGAAACCATGATTAAAAATGAGGAGTTATGGAAACTTACGTAAATGTTTCTTAATTTTAGTTGTTTAAAAAATGTGTAATATATTCACATAGGACAAATTTCAAAAGCTATATGTTGGTGAAAAGCCAGTGAAAATTCTCCATCCCATTCTGTCTTCCAACTACCCGCTTTCCTTTCCCAGAGTTATCAGCGATACCAGTTTCTTGTCCAACTTTCCAATGATTTCAGTCTTTAAAAAATTTCTTTACAGCAGAGATATTAGTTCTCAAGATTAAAAGACAAAAGATTATAAAAAAGTCTTTAAAAATTGAAGCCATTATTTTTTAATAAATTTTACTGTTTTATTATAATAGTAGTATCTAATGCTGGATATAATGCTAAGAACTTCACATAGGTTATTTCATCTGATACCCAAACATCATCATCCTCATCTTACCAGTAAGGGAACAAGGAAGGTTAAATAATTTGTCTAAAGCTCAAAATGAGAATTAGCAGAGCCATGATTCAAGCTCCAGAGGTCTAATTCCTGAACTACTCACTACACACACTGTTTTCTTTGAATACTGAGTATAATCCCAGTGCTTTTACCCTATCATGTCCATTCATTCCTTGTGTAGCTTGATATAATCTCTTGTAGTTTTTCCCTAGAAGGGCTATATCTGCTAAGGCCTTTTATGCTTCAGCATGTGTGCTTATTGCTTTTATCCTCAAACAAGACTGTGTAGATAATATTTTTAAAGACAGGGTTTTGCTCTCGTCCTGGCTGGAGTGCTATGGCGTGATCATAGCTCACCGCAGCCTTGAACTCCTGGGCTCAGCGATTCTCACACCTCAGTGTTCCAAGCAGCTGGGACCACAGGCATGCACCACCATGCCTGGCTAATTTTTTGCAGAGATGAGGTCTTGCTGGTCTCAGACTTCTGGCCTCAAGAAATCCTTCTGCCTCATCCTCCCAAAGAGCTGGGATTACACGTGTGAACCACTGCACCCAGCCTGTCGGGGTATTCTTTCTTTTTTTTTTTTTTTTAATACTTTAAGTTCTGGGATACATGTGCAGAACGTGCAGCTTTGTTACATAGGTATACATGTGCCATGGTGGTTTGCTGTACCCATCAACTGTCGTCTAGGTTTTAAGCCCTGCATGTATTAGGTATTTGTCCTAATGCTCTCCCTCCCCTTGCCCCCAACCTCCCGCCTGACAGGCCCTGGTGTGTGATGTTCCCCTCCCTGTGTCCATGTGTTCTCATTGTTCTCCCACTTATGAGTGAGAACATGCGGTGTTTGGTTTTCTGTTCCTGTGTTAGTTTGCTGAGAATGATGGTTTTCAGCTTCATCCATGTCCCTGCAAAGGACATGAACTCATTCTTTTTTATGGCTGCATAGTGTGTATGTGCCACATTTTCTTTATCCAGCCTATCATTGATGGGCATTTGGGTTGGTTCCAAGTCTTTGCTATTGTGAATAGTACTTCAATAAACATACATGTGCAAGTGTCTTTATAGTAGAATGATTTATAATCCTTTGGGTATATACCTGTCTGGGTATTCTTCAGTCACACTTTCTTTTACTCAGAATTCTGTAGACACAGCTCCATTATCTTCTGGCACTGACTGTTGTAGAGAAGTCTAAGCTAGCCTAATTTTTTTCTCCCATGTAGGTGACTTGTTTTTCTACCTCCATTCTTCTACCTCTTATAGATCATTAACCTAATGCCATTCTTATAACACCAAAGGTCATTAACCTAACCAAGCTGTTATCTGTTTTAATTACTCCACATCAGTTTTTCCTGAAAGATTTGTTTTATTTTTATTTTATATACTTTTCTTTCAACTCCGAAGTGCTTAGTTCATTAATATGTGGGAAACTTTTTTTAAAAAATATTTTTCTCTGTTTCATTTTTTTGGTTCTCTACTTCAGAGACATCAATTATCCCTGGGTGAAATCATCTTTATCTCTCTTTCACATCGATTCCTCTCTACTTGTAAAAATTTTTTCTCTTTTTTTCTTAATTTGCAATAACAATATCAAATCTTCCCTCTCTGTCACTGCTGCAATTCCATTTTCAGCCTATTTTATTCTTGCTCTGCCCAATTTATTAGTTCTCTCATGGTGTTGTTTTGGTCCTCAATTTGTAGTCTCAGCTCAGCTGTTTCCCATTTTACCTCTTGTTTTATCATTTTGCTTTTGAGAGCTTATTACGTTTTTCTATACTGTGAAATGCTGGCAGGAGTTTTTTCTAACTGTGGAGTTATATTTTCTTCCAGACTGGGCCCTTTATTTGTCTTTTATATGCTTGTTCTTATCTGTTCTCCGCTTTTGTTTTTTGCTAGAATATATTTGTGTAATCATTGTATCATTTATTTTCCTCTTGCTCATGCTTAACAGGGGAAGTGTTTACCAAGACCTTCTACTTAATTTGAGATATTATGAATAAATTCTTCTTTATCTTCTTCCTATACTATTTAGTATATGTTCTTGTCCCCTCCAAGTTACACATGAGGACCAGATAGAAATAGACATCAGCTGGAGCTATGACCAGGCTTGAGGGAAGATCATTGTATACCTATTGAATCACACACACACACACGCACATTGCAATGTTATACATTAATTCCCAGAGATGGTAAAAATCTACACTTATATTTAAAAAGAGAAACACTGTCCTGACTATAACCTGCACAGCTGCTTGAGCAAACACAGAGATGTTCCTTCCATTATTACACAGGAGGCAGAATAATCTGGTAGTAGAAAGCACAGCCCCCTAGGTTCAAATCCTAGCTTTGCCACTTACAATCTGTAGCCAAGAACAAGGTACTTCTATTTTTTAAGCCTTGGCTTCCTAATATATAAATTAGGGATGATAATAGGACCTACCCTTAGGGCTATTTTTGCTTTTACTTTTTGAGACAGAGTCTTGCTATGTTGTCCAGGCTGGAGTGCAGTGGTGTGATCTTGGCTCACTGCAACCTCTGGGTTCAAGCAATTCTCCTGCCTCAGCCTCCTGAGTAGCTGGGACTACAGGCACGCACCACCATGCCCAGCTAATTTTTGTATTTTTAGTAGAGACGGGGGCCAGGGCTATTATGAATAACAAATGAATTTGAACATAGGAAGTCTTTGGCACAGTGCCTGGCATACAGTAACTACTCAATAAATGTCAGCTATTATTATTATTAAAAAGAGTAGCAGTTTTCTTTTGTTCATCCTCCTGCTTTCAGGCTTTGATGGGAACCTTCATGAGTGATGGAGACTGAAGAGTCATCTACTTTTTGATAGTATGTCTTGGCTAAACAAGAACTGCAAGGAGGTCTAAAAGTAAATGCATGGGTCACTCATACATTGCTGGTGAAAATGTTAATGGTACACTCTGGAAAATAAATTGGCAGTTTCTTAAAAAACTAAGCATGAAACTACCATTCAATCTAGCAACTGCACTTTTAGGCATTTATCTCAGAGAAATGAAAATAAAAAATATGTACACAATTATTCATAGCAGCTTTATTCATAATAGCAAAAAACTGGAATGAGCTCAGATGTCCTTCAACAGAAGACCAGTTAAAAAAATTGCTGTACATACATATTGTAGAATACTACTCAGCAATAATAAGGATCAAGCTATGGATACATGCAGCAATTTGGATTAATCTCTGGGGAATTATGCAGATGAAATAAAAAATCAATTCTAAAGGTTACATGTCGTGTGATCCACTTATATAATATAACATAATATATATTATATAAGGCAAATTTATGAATGGACAACAGATTAGTGATTGCCAGATCTTAGAGATGGGGGAGAGAATAAGGGAGATGGATGTGGCTATGAAAAAACAACATGAGAGGTCGTTGTAGTGTTGTCACATTATCTTGACTGTGGTGGTGGATACACAGACCTACACAGTTGATAAAATCACATTGAACTTAATACACACAAACATAAAAACACAAATGCAAATGAATAAAAGTAAAAATGTAAGACTTGGGAAATCAGAATAAGATAGGCGGGTTGTATCAATGTCAATATACTGCTTAGGATAGTTTACTATAGTTTCTAAAATATTACCATTGGTGAAAACTGGACAAAATGTACAGGGATCTCTTTGTATTATTTCTACAACTATGTGTGAATCTACAATTGTCTCAGTAAAAGTGTCAATTGAAAAATGAAGATTAAAAAATACTGCCTTATCCCTTCCCTCTTCTCCCCCAAAGTAAATTTCTTTCTCTCCTTTTGGGGTCTCAACAAATTTTTAGGCAAAGAATTTTTCTGTAATCTCTGTGGAGGAAGGGGGAACATGTGAGAATATATTGTATTCTTTGGTCCTAACAACTTCCCAATCCGGTGGTGTGGATGGGGGTGCTGTCAAGGGGTGTTCTTTCAGCTTAAGGAGTATAGAATGGGAGCAGGAAAAGAGTCTCTAAAGGTTCTTGAGCCAAGGATGATGTGAGGTGTTTGGAGCTGTGTCACAGAAAGAATAACCCTGGTGGCACTGTGTTTAGTAGAGTAGAGGAGATTGAGTCAGTGTATTAGTCTGTTCTCACACTGTTAATAAAGACACACCAGAGACTGGGTAATTTATAAAGAAAAAGAGGTTTAATGGACTCACAGTTTCACATGGCTGGGGAGGTCTCACAATCATGGCGTAAAGCAAAGGAGGAGCAAAGGCATGTTTGGAATATCCCCTTTGCAAAGCACTTATATTATTTGGGATTCTGACACATCTCCTTTTTGACATCAGTTTATCTACTTCAAGTTGATTCAGATACATGAAGACTGGGGAGTAAAGGGATGGATAAGAGACTGTGAATTTTAGTGGTAGAGGAGGGGCTTAGGAAATGACCAAAATATATTGAGCTGCCCCTGGAGGCAGGTATGACGGGCTGCATTAATAGGGCTTAGGGCCATCCAAGAAACCACTTGAGGACACTAGAGGGTGTGAAAGTTGCAGACACCAGGATAAAGTCACTTTTGTCAGAACCAAACAAGTTCAAGTCAGGAAAGCATGAAGGAGGAGGGCCTGTGTTTGTGTGTCAGAGATCAAACTGTATTAAGCACTTTCTAAAATAATTCCGTGAGAAATTCCTTCTCATCTCTCACACATCTCATGCTTTTCATGATCTACATTTTGTACATATGCATGTATTTCTATGACCAGGTTTATCACTAGACATTGTTTAGAACTGCAGCAGTTCAGATAAGATGCTCTTAAAAGAACACTTTGCCCAGTATCGGCATCCCCTCCAGTGAACTGATGCCAAGTCTGGCTTTGAGCCTCTGGAACCAATGAGCTCTCTTTCCAAGATGCTTAAACTTCTTTTTGCCAATAAAAGCTTCCCTTATCCCCACCTCTTCGAAAGCATCTGTGGCTTTCTATAGCTGTGCATTCTGGACTACGACCCTCTTTGCTTACACCCCAATAAACTCATTAAATTAGAATATATTTTTATCTGATGTTTTTTAGGCTGACAAGGACTAGGGGAGACCTTGGGAAATAACATGTACAGTCTTATACATTCTTTGCATATATTATTTCCTTAAACCTTATAACAACCTTCTGTGAACCAAGTGCTGTTATTACCATTTTAAAGAGAAGAAGGCTGAGGCTTAAATAACTTAAGCCATTTGTCCAGGAGCACATAGTTTGCAAGTTGCAGAGCCAGGATGTGATTGGAGAGCTTCTGAACCCCAATTCAGGACTTCCCCACTGTGCCACACTACCTTCTTGGATTAAAGGCCACTTTGTCTGAGCCCCCAATCTAAAACAGTCCACTTATTTTTCTCTCTTGTACTGTCTATACTTTCTTGTTTCAGGACTAAGTAGGATTTGTAGTAACAGATTTATTTGTGTGATACTTTTTTAAAGATGGTTTCTCTACCAGGCTGTAAGTGCCACATAAAAGGGCAGGGACCATGTCGTTCTGTTTATTTCTGTATTCTCAGAGTCTTGCACATACCTGACATGTAGTAGGTGCTTAATAAATACTTGAATAAATGCTTAGGGGAAAAAAGTTTATTTGACTTTTACTAAACCATCTTTGTCATTAGAAAATTTTAGTTATGCTAGATAAAGTTTTAATCCAGAAATCCACTTTAATAATTTTAAATCCACTTTAATAATTTTAAAAAGTCTTAAAACTTGTTGGTATGATTCAGGGTTTTTTCTTTAGAGAAAAAAAGAATGTTTATAATTGGCACTCCACTGAGTTTTTGTAATCTCTTTGTCAAAGAGAGTTGACATTGTTCCACTCATTTGTGTAATTGGCACCTTTCTCTCTCTCTCTCTCTCAAGATACTTTATTAATAAAGTAAATAAATACTGGTGGCTCCGCATATAAAGTTGAAAATGTCATTTCATTAGTGGAGGGTCAGAGGTAGAGAATATAAATGACGGTTATTGTCCTTTGCTGTGCATTAGGTGCTTTCTGTATCTTATCTGGTTTATTCTTTTCAACAATTATGAGAGATAACCATAACTTTTCCCATTTTACAGATGAGAGGACTGATGACCAAAATATTAACTAATTTGCTAAGGGCATTGGATAACAGAAAGGATCAGATGATCAAATCAGCCTCACATGGATCAGAGATCTTACACAGTAGCAAGGTTTACTAATATAGCCATGCATTGCCTAATGACAGTTCAGTCAATGTCCAACCGCACATATGTCGGTGGCCCCCTAAGATTAGGACACTGTGTTTTTACAGTACCTTTTCTATGTTTAGATATGTTTAGGTACACAAATGCTTAACCATGGTGTTATAATTGCCTACAGTATTCAGTATAGTTTCATACTGTACCAGTTTGTAGTCTAGGAGCAATAGGCTGTACCATATATTCTAGGTATGTAGTAAGTAGGCGAAACCAGCTAGGTTTGTGTAAGTGCACTCTATGATGTTTGCACAACAATGAAATTGCCTAACAACACATTCCTTAGACTGTATCCCTGACGTTAAGTGATGCATGACTATAGTTTCAAGGATACACAACTTCAAGGCACAGATAAAGCAGAAGTCTAGGATCACCAACAAAGCTTTCCTGGTCATTTCTTGCTATGTTAGGATTACTTCTGGCCCTGATTAACAAACAGGATCTCTTAGTGATGTATGCAGTCCTATCATTTGCACAGAAGACAGCTGTTTCTTTCATGAAACATGTCTTACATGTTTTATTCTTACATAGATTAATGACATAGATTAATGACATTGTTCTTACATAGATTCTTACATAGATTAATGACATTGTTTAGGGAGACAAATTTCATGAATCCATAAATTCCAGATTTGATTACCCTAGCAATCAATCCTAAACAAGTTCATTCTGCTGAAAGCATTCCATAGATAAGAACTCTCCCACTACAAGTAGTATTAGTGTGTTTGCCTGGAGGTCTGCTATGACATGTTTACAAGGAAATTTGACCAGGCTATTTTCCTTCTTCATTCCTTCTTTCTCTCCCAGGGGCATTTTCTCAGTGAAGGGAGAGACTGTATTCCAGGTTTGCTGCTAACCACTGCTTTCCAGGGCGGCACAGATTCAAATCCAGCTCTGTCTCACTTACAAGTGCATTCTTTCCAATACTCCATACTCTCTCCAAACTTCAGGAGTTCATAGTTAGGAGATTTCACAGGTATGAATGCCTCTCAATGTATTTCAACTTTTATTTTTACTGAACATTGTTATCAACAACTCTCAAGCTGCCATGCACAGTCTTTCACAAGATAGTTTCTGCTGCTACTACTGACAGGCTAACCGTCTGATTTGTAGAAGAAAGAGAGAAAGCAGAAATAAAAAATGTGGGGAATAAGGGAAATGTGATTCAACTAATGATGGTATTTGAACTGGAAGTGAGTGATTCTTTAAAGGATAGCTGGATAATAAGTGTGATATTCACTTATTAGTTTCAATAGATGATGAAATGGTAGATTGTTTATAAAAGTGGCACAATGCTATGGTCTGAATGTGTCCCTTAAATTCATGTGTTGAAAACTTAATCCCCAATGCAACAGTGTTGGGAGATGGGGCCTCATGGGAGGTGTTTACATCATGAGGGTTCTGCCCTCATGGATGGATTAATGCCATTATAAAATGGGCTTGTGGGAGTGAGTTCTCTCCCTTCTGCTTTTCTGCCATGTGAGGGCACAACATTTGTCCTTTCTTGCTCTTCTATCTTCTGCCATGTGAAAATGCAGCAAGAAGGTGCTCACCAGGTGCTGGCACCTTGATCTTGGCCTTCCCAGCCTCCAGAAATGTTAGGAAATAAATTTCTGTTTTTTATAAATTACCCAGTCTATATTATTCTTTTGTAGCAGCAGAAAACTGACCAAGACACACAATAATTCTTGAAATTTAATTTTCAAGAAATAACAAATTCAGCATACTTTATAGATAGTGGTGTGCCATAGCTGGTTAGTATTAGCTTGTGTCAAACTTATTATCAAACAGAAAAGGAGTCTCTCTAAAATAAAATGATATTTATTTGGGAATGGGCATTGTAATGAGAATACATGTGCCATAGTAAACTATGTGTGTATTCTGGGAGGTAAGGAAGACAAGAAAGGAAAAATGAGGAGGACTACAAAACTGTTTTAAATCAATTGTTCTTGGCTACAAGAATCAGTACTAACAAGGGTGGTGTCAGTCCAAGGTTGGACAGGCAGTTGCTAGGCAGATGTCCTCACAGAAATATATATATATATATATATATATAGTGTGTGTGTGTGTGTGTGTGTGTGTGTGTGTGTGTGTGTGTGAGTTTGCAGTGGCCTTTGTGCAGGGTTGTGGTTTTTTCAGAGTCTTTTATGATAGTTCTTGTTTTCAAGCATATGTGCAGGAGAACCCTCCCTTCATGGCCCTCCTCAGCTCCATTTGTCAGGGCTTGACACAAGTGACTCCATTTTGATTTAGACAACTTTCACACTTGTGAGGAATGTGTTGTATGGCTCTCTTTCTCACATTGTATTCAATGACTTCACATTGGCTGCTTGCAATTGGCCATAGTAGGAGTATTCACATCACAGAAGTAATCAAGTACTATAGACTATGGCCTTTTCGTTCCAGAAAGGTGGTTACTGAATGTTTACCAACATGTCACTATTTGTAGATAGACATACAAGGTTTTCCTATTCCTGTATTCAGGATTAATGTGCCAAATTTAGAAAGTCAAATGAGGAAACAACATATTAAATGGTCAAATAGACCATTAGAGTATAAATGTGTTAGATTCTCTGGGAGAGGCAATAAATAATGCCCTCACCCTTCTGAGTTGGGAATAAACTGAAAGATAGAAGATCAATATCTCAGTTACTAATAAACGTGATTAGACATCACAACATCTATCTGTGGCTAGACAAGCTTCCTGATTTCTTGTCCCTGAACAGAGTTCACCCATGTGGACACTGGCAGGGCTGGACCTTCGCATGCTGAATCTCCCTCCCAGGGGAAGGCCACTTCCTGCATGTTGGAGCAGAGAATGTGTTTGTTCTGGTTCAGGCCATTCTGAATGACAGGGACTGAAAGATACAGAGAGACAGAGGCTGTGCCCTGCACCCCACAGAGGCTGTGCTCTGTACCCCCAGTTCATGCCTCATAATCCCAGTTCATTAATTGAGTAGGTCATTTCATTTCTCTTGGGCAGGTATGATGACAGGGATGGGAGGGAAAGAAAAAGCTCTTCTTTCCAACACCCAGAAAAGGCAAAAGCTTCTATTTTATGTGTCACTATAAAAAATGTTGAATTGTGGAAGGGAATGGTTTTCCCTGCAATATATTTTATTTTAATTCCCTTTCTTATCATTTACTTAAATCAGATGTTGATCCTACAGTGCCAGGCATTTAGCTCCATAATGCTGTTGAATTGAACAATTGTAAAATTGTGGCAAAGTTTTTGAATTCTTTTATGAGAAGTGGTGGTGGTCATGGTAGTATATTTTATCTAAAGACATACCTTAAAGATATGCCAAGCAGTTAAAAAAAACTGTTAATAAAGACTCTTATATCTCCCAAGAGTAAAATATCAGACCCTTTTGAGCATTTTCATCAAGCAATCAGTTAATTCATTGAAAAGAGATAATCAGATAAAGCATTTGATTGAAATGACTTAGTGTTTAGCTGAATTGGGTAGCTGCTTACAAGCATTGACATCAGTTCTGTTGGGGTTGTTAATCCAGCAGCCCTGCAGAGACACAGAACCACTCTTTCTTTGTCAAGCCACAGCATAATAAAGTTTTGTCTTCATTTTCCAGTTTCATGTGGAAATGTTTAAAAGAATGCATCGTCTAAAATTTTTCTTAATTGTAATTATGATACATTATCCCTTGTACAAAGCAGGTTGAGTATTTTCTTTTGGGCCCTAAGATAATTTCAGGCCTTTATGTATCCTCTGGCTTTTCCTGAAGGTCCAATCAGGCCAAATGAGAAACAGATCTTTACATTAGATTTGTTTAATAAACATGCTGTTCAAAGAATGGCCGTTATGTAAGAAGTATCACTCTTTGAAAGGCTGATTTAGGGGGTCTCTAGATTATGTTGAAATCCAGTCTAGGTTGGTGGTGATTGGCCAATGACATCTGCAGATTATTTTCCCATCCACAGGAAATGCGGTGGTCCCTTCTCAGCATCTCAGGGCCTTCCAGCTGGTACCAAGTGTTACCATTGTTGGCAAATCCAGCAGGAGGCCAGGGACAGGGTAGTCACTGCTGTGCTCCCATCTCTGTGTGCACTCGGGTGAGGAAACACTGTCACACCATTGTGAGGAGGCTTGTTACCCTGCGTGTGTGGCCCCCAAATCAACAGTACCAGGGCACCTCAGCTTTGGTGTGAACTGCCTGCCCTGTTCACAGGCTCCAGTCCACACATCACTTAAATCAATGCATTTTGTCTTTCGCTTGTTTGATGGACTTCATTTTAAATAATGTATCATTCCCCAGGTCCCACTGAAAAAGTATTACATTGGCCACAGTTTTGGCAGAGACTATGATTACTAAGGCTGTTATGCTGAAACAGTCCTGTTACAGAAAGCACCTAAATAGGCTGTTTACTGGGAATAATAGACTCTGGTTTGCATATGACTTGCATTAAAGTTGCATGTTGGTCACTTATAGTCAACAATCACAGATGTCTCCTCACACTGTAATGCTCTTTCTTCTCCAGACTCCTTGAACACTCTACTTTTTTAAACTTAACCCTCCTTTGACTCTCTGTCTTCTTCACTTGAAAAATCATTTGTAGGAAGGGCTCTGACTAGAACATTGACATTTCACAGACAATACAAAGATGACAGACTATTGAAAACCTACAATTTTATTAAATAAAGTTTTTAATTTTTAACTTTTGTGGGTATATAGTAAGTATATGTATTTATGTGGTACATGAGGTATTTTGATACAGGCACACAATGTGTAACGATTATATCAGGGTAAATGGGGTATCCATCACCTCAAGCATTTATCCTTTCTTTCTGTTCCAAAGAGTCCAATTCTACCCTTTTATTTATGGTAAAATGTATAATAAATTATCGTTGACTATAGTCACTCTGTTCTGCTATCAAATACTAGATCATATTCATTCTATCTACTTTTTTGTACACATTAACCATCCCCACTTCCCATTCCCCCATTATCCTTATCAGCTCTGGTAATCATCATTCTCCTTTCTATATTTATGTGTTCAATTGCTTTAATTTTTAGCTCCCACAAATAAGTGAGAATATATGAAGTTTGTCTTTCTGTGCCTGGCTTATTTCACTTAACATAATGATCTCCAGTTTCATCTATGTTGTTGCAAATGACAGGATCTCATTCTTTTTTACGGCTGAATAGTACTCCATTGTGTGTGTACCATATTTCCTTTACCAGTTCATCTGTTGGTGGACACTTAGGTTGCTTCCAAATCTTGGCTATGGTGAATAGTGCTGCAGTAAACATGAGAGTGCAGATATCTGTCTGATGTACCAAGTTTCTTTCTTTTGAGTATATACCTAGCAGTGGAATTGCTGGATCATATAGTAGCTCTACTTTTAGTTTTTTGAGGACACTCTAAACTGTTTTCCATAGTGGTTGTGCTATTTTACATTCCCACCAATGGTGTACAAGGGTTCCCTTTTCTCCACATCTTTGACAGCATTTGTTATTTGCTGTCTTTTAGATAAAAGCCATTTTAAATGGGGTGAGATGATACCTCATTTTGGTTTTGATTTGCATTTCTCTCATGATCAATGACGTTGAACACTTTTTCATATACCTGTTTGCCATTGTATGTCTTCTTTTGAGAAATGTCTGTTCAGATCTTTTGCCCATTTTATAATTGGATTATTATATTTTGTTTCTTTAGAGTTGTTTGAGCTCCTTATGGATTCTGGTTATTAATCCCTTGCCAGACGGATAGTTTGCAAATATTTTCTCCCATTCTGTGGGCTGTCTCTTTACTTTGTTGATTGTTTCCTTTGCGATGCAGAAACTTTTTAGCTTGATGCAATCCCATCTGTCCATTTTTACTTTGGTTGCCTGTGCTTGTGGTGTATTACTAAACAAATCTTTGCCCAGACCAATGTCCTGGAGAGTTTTCCCAATGTCTTCTTTTGGTAGTTTACAGTTTGATGTCTTAGATTTAAGTCTTTCATCTATTGGGGTTTGATTTTTGTATATGGCAAGAGATAGGGGTCTAGTTTCATTCTTCTGCATATGGATATCCAGTTTTCCCAACACCGTTTATTAAAGAGACTGTCTTTTCTCCAATGTATGTTCTTGGCACCTTTGTTGAAAATGAGTTCACTGTAAATGTGTGGATTTGTTTCTAGGTTCTGTATTCTGTTCCATGTCTGTTTTTATGCCAGTACCATGCTGTCTTGATTACAATACCTCTGTAGTATAATTTGAAGTCAAGTAATGTGATTACTCCAATTTTGTTCTTTTTGCTCATGATAGCTTTGGCTATTCTGGGTCTTTTGTGATTTCATATACATTTTAAGATTTTTTTTCTATTTCTGTGAACAATGTCATTAGTATTTTAACAGGGATTGCATTGAATCTGTAGATTGCTTTGGTTAGTATGAACATTTTAACAATATTGATTCTTCCAATCCATGAACGTGGAATATGTTTCCATTTTTTGGTGTCCTCTTCACTTTCTATCATCAGTGTTTTACAGTTTTAATTGCAGAGATCTTTCACTTCTATGTTCATTCCTGTTATTTGAATTTATTTGTAGCATTGAAAATGGGATTACTTTCTTGATTTATTTTTCAGATTGTTCATTGTTGGCATATAGAAATGCTACTGATTTTTGTATGTTGACTTTGTATCCTGCAACTTTACTGATTCAGGTCTAACAGTTTTTTGGTGGAGTATTTAGGTTTTTTGAAATATAAGATCATATCCTCTGCAAACAAAGATAATTTAACTTCTACCTTCAAATTTTGATGCCCTTTACTTCTTTCTCTTGTCTGATTGCCCTAGCCAGGACTTCCAGTACTATGTTGAATAACAATGGTGAGAGTGGGTATTTTTGTCTTGTTCCAGATCTTAGAGGAAGGGCTTTCAGCTTTTCCCCATGCAGTGTGATACTACTGTGGGTCTGTAATATATGGCTTTTATTATGTTGAGGTATATTACTTCTATACACAGTTTTTTGAGGAATTTTACATGAAGGGATGTTGAATTTTATCAAATGATTTTTCAGCATCAACTGAAAAGATCATATGGTTTTTGTCCTTCAATTTCTTTCCTAATTTCTTAATTGACCCAGTGGTAATAAAGATCATATTGTTTAATTTCCATGTGTTTGTATAGTTTCCAGAATTTCTCTTGTTATTGATTTCTAGTTTTATTCCATTGTAATCAAAGAAGATGCCTGATATTATATCAAGGTTTTTTGAATGTTTTAAGACTTGTTTTGTGACCCAACATATGGTCTATCCTTGAGAATGATCTAGGTGCTCAGGAGAAAAATGTGTATTCTGCAGCCCTTGGATAAAATATTCTGTTAATATCTATTAGGTCCATTTGGTCTATAGCACACATAAAGTCCAATGTTTGTTGATTTTCTGTCTGGATGATCTGTCCAATGCTGAAAGTGGGGTGTTAAAGTCTCCAGCTAGTATTGTATCGAAGATTATCTCTCTGTTTAACTCTAATAATATTTGCTTTATATATCTAGGTGCTTCAATGTTGAGTGTATATATACTTACAATTTTATATACTCTTGCTACATTGATACCTTCATCATTATATAATAACCTTCTTTGTCTGTTTCTTCAGTTTTTGTCTTGAAATCTATTTTGTGTGATACAAGCATAGCTACTCCTGCTCTTTTTTTTTTGGTTTCCATTTGCATGGACTATCTTTTCTTCATCCCTTTATTTCCAGATTATATATATGAAGTGCATTTTTTGTATGCAACAGATCATTAGGAGTTGTTTTTTTTAACCCATTCAGCCAGTCTATAACTTTTAATTGGAGATTTTAGTCCATTTTCATTATAATTACATTATATTATTGATAAGTTAGGACTTATTCCTGCCATTTTGTTATTTATTTTCTGGCTGATTTCTGGCCTTCTCTTCCTTCTTTTCTTCCTGTCTTCCTTTCTCTGGTGGTATGTTTTGATTTCCTGCTTTTTATTTTTTTGTTTATCTGTTTTATGTTTTTTGATTTGAGGTTACCAGGGAGCTTGGAAATAATATCTTATAACTTATTATTTTAAACAGATGATAACACTGATTGCATAAACAAACAAGCAAAAAAACTAATAAAATTTCTACACTTTATTACTCTGCTTTTTAACTTTTGTTGTTTCTATTTATATATTATTGTACTGTCTATGTCTTGAAAAGTTGTGTAGTTATTATTTTTTATTGGTTCATTTTTTGTCTTTCCACTCAAGATATGAGTAGTTTACATACCACAATTAGAATGTGATGATATTCTGTGTTTTTCTGAGTACTTATTATTACATTGAGTTCTGTGCCTTCAGATAATTTGACTGTTCATTAACGTTCTTTTCTTTCAGATTGAAGAACTTGCTTTAGTATTTCTTGTTGGATAGATCTGATGTTGATGAAATAACTCAACCTTTATTTGTCTGGGAACATCTTTATTTCTTCTTCATGTTTGAAGGATATTTTTGCCAGATATGCTATTCTAGGGTAGAAGTTTATTTTTTCCTTCAGCACTTTCAATATATCATGCCACTCTCTCCTGGCCTGTAAGGTTTCCACTGAAAAGTCTGCTGCCAGATGTTTTGGAGGTCTTTTGTATGTTACTTGTTTCTTTTCTCTCACTCATTTTAGGATCCTTTCTTTATTCTTGACCTTTGGGAGTTTGATTGTTAAATGTCTTGAGGTAGTCTTCCTTGGGTTAAATCTGCTTTGTGTTCTATAATCTTCTTGTACCTGGATATTAATTAGATTTGGGAAGTTCTCTTATCAAAGGTTATCCCTTTGAATAACCTTTCTACCCCTATCTCTTTCTCTACCTCCTCCTTAAGGCCAGTGTCTCTTAGATTTGCCCTTTTGAGGCTATATTTTAGATCTTGTAGACATACTTCATTCTTTTTTATTCTTTTTCCTTTCGATTCCTCTGACTGTGTATTTTCAAATAGCCTGTCTTCAAGCTCACTCATTGTTCCTCTGCTTCATTAATTCTACTGTTAATAAACTCTGATGCATTCTTCTGTATGTCAACTGCAATTTTTCAGCTCAAGAATTTCTGCTTAATTCTTTTTAATTATTTCAATCTCTTTTTAAAATTAATCTGATAGAATTCCTAATTCCTTCTCTGTGTTATCTTGAATTTCTTTAGGAATCTGCCTGGTGCTGTATTCCACTGCTGCTGAGCTGGCACCCAAGCCACAAGACAAAGTCCTTCCCAGTCTTCCCTCCCCTCTCCATAAGTAGAGAACTCTCTCCCCACAGCCACCACTGCCCCAGGACTATGGCAGGTAGCACCAATGTTCACTCAAGGCCCAAGGGCTCTTCACTCAGCTTGTGGTGAATGTTTCCAGGCATGTGTCTCTTTCTTTAGCACATTGGGCACCCTTCTGGCCCTGGGAAAGGCCAGAAATGCCATCCAACAGCCAAGGCTGGGAATCAGGGACTCCAAGAGCCTGCTTGGTGCTTTACCCGACCGTGGCTGAGCTGGTATCTAAGCTGCATGACAAAGTCCCCTTTACTCTTCCTTCTGCTTTTCCTAAGCAGAAGGAGTTTCTCCCCAAAGCAGCCACAGCTGGGAATGTGCTGGGTTACACCTGAGGCCAGCACATCTCAGAGTCTTACCCAGGGCCCATGGCAAGTACTACCTGCATTCTTCTTTGCCAGTTATTGAACAAATATTTTATGGACCTCTGCCAATATGCCTGGGACCATGCTGGGTACTAGGAATATAAGATGGTTCTGGAGACAGAGAGACCTGGCTAAGTCCCCTCCCTTGGAGCAGCTCACAGTCTAGAGGTGGAAATAGACAAATGAAGTAGGAATTACAATGCTGAATAGTAAGGGTAATGATGGGGACAGAGTAGTCAGCTTAGGAGGAATGAAATTGGGGTTTGGCTATAATAGATACAGGGTCTTGTTATGTTGCCCAGGTTGGACTCAAACTCCTGGGCTCCAGAGTTTCTCCTGCTTCAGCCTCCTGAGTAGCAGGAGCTACAGATGTGTGCCACAATGGCCTATGAGGCTTAGCTACATTTAAACTATTTAAAAAATTCTCTTCTTAAGAATTTATTCATACAAAGAGTGGAGAAGAACTCAGAAGTGTGCTTAAAATTCTATGTGGATTGCTGGGTGCGGTGGCTCACACCTGTAATCCCAGCACGTTGGGAGGCGGAGGCAGGCGGATCACCTGAGGTCAGGAGTTCGAGACCAGTCTGGCCAACATGGTGAAACCCCGCCTCTACTAAAAATACAAAAATTAGCTGGGCGTGGTGGCAGGTGCCTGTAATCCCAGCTACTCAGGAGGCTGAGACAGGAGAATCACTTGAACCTGGGAGGCAGAGGTTGCAGTGAGCTGAGATCTCCAGCCTGGGCAACAAGAGTGAAACTCCGTCTCAAAAAATAAAAAATAAAAATTGGATGTGGACATATTCAAACATATTTGGGGTGTGCATGTGCTACTTTTGGCGTGTGTTAGGGGACATGATAGAAGCCATGCTGCAAGTAGGTAGAATCTGGTATGATGAGCCAAATTCAGCAAAAGGACTGAGATATGGAGAGAAGTTGTTTTAAATAGTGTGGCTGCAGGCTGTAAACTCATTTGATCTTTTCTAGCACTCCTGGATTTCTGTGTGTGAATGACAATTCCTCTAATTTTGAAGTTTAAGCCACCTGCTCAAATGGAACCCTCTAAATAACCTACAGCAGAGAATTAAGTGCCTTGTCTTCACTTTGCAAGAAATGGCAGTGGTTTCAGACCACAGTAAGCATGTTTAGTATCAGCAGCCAGGTCAGTGAGCAGCAATTTGTGCCTCAGTGGGGACCATGCAGAGGTTGGAGTGACAGCGGCCAGCAGTACTGCATGGCTTAGGTTGTCAGAAGCCAGCAGAGGCAGCACTATACCATGACATACCTTCTCCATAGTATCACTCTATCTAGTTTTGCACCTTTGAATGTTGTCTGAAGTCCCTTGAAAACATAGAAAGAAATGGTGTCATAGAGACCAGTGTAAATGGTGACTCAGACTGATTCTTAAATGTGTGCAAGACCCTCCCTGGGAACTCCCGTGGCAGTTTGAGTGTCCTTATAAGTGGTGGGAGCTTAGTACAATCAAGATTTGGCATGAATATTAATGAGACCACCACTCTCACACTGGGAAGAACTCTTAAGCCTGAATGAAATCCTTGATTTTGTTAGCTTTCTTGTTTCAGTCCATTCCACATCTGCTTAGGTGTCTTTCCTACCAGATCCGTGAGTTGCTAGTTGTGTCAGTTCTCTTTCAAACTAGAATCCTGAATAGATATCGCCAAGGATGCATTGTCCTGATGGTCACATGTCATTGCCTGTAGAAAGCAACGGGGGATAATGATGGTGACATTCTTAAAGGGGACCATTCTCTGCCCCGCCTCTGATACGAAGTCAGAACTCCTCTTTGGTATGTAAAAAAATTACTTCTTCCTTTTTGTAGGTTGCTTATTTTATACAATAACTTATACCTCTTCAATCATGAAAGCAATTTCCCAGGCCAGGCCCAGTACTTTGGATTCAGTCCAGTGATAAGTATAAGAATTAAATCACTTAACAGACCGATAGGAGCAAAATAAAAAAAGGAAAGGACTAAGGTTCCAAGTTTAAAAATATTTTTTCCACAAATATACAGTATGAGTCTTCTTTTTCAAGGTAATAAAAGAGTACCAAAGGGAAAGAAAACATAAATCTGCATACACAAAAAAAACCAGCTTTGTTTTGCCAAATACAAAGAAAACATAAACTGAAATATTAATTCAGTCATGTGATTGCCTAATTACTCCTCATTTGAAAATTAGGTAGTATTATTTTCAAATTTTCAGGGGTACTTAAAGGAATCTGCTACTGTACATTTAGATGTAGGTAATGTAGGTATACGGTTTAAAATAAAAAAGAGATCTGAAGCCAAGTTTTCTCCTAACTCATTTTACCCACAATCAGCACATATAAGTAAATAAGTAGTAGAAGGGTTCAGAAATCTCCTGCCTTGTCAAGCTTACTGTCATTCTCCTACAATCAAACATCTATAGAGACCCCTTTCTTAGGCGTTAAAATACTTAGAATAAGCAAGCTCTTGTGCTCTGGTATATGTGTCTCTATCCTTCAATGGATTCTATCCCTTTGGTAGTTTTAAATAAGGCTTTATGTTCCCTCCCTTGAGTCTGGGGAGATTTGTGACTCCTCCACTAACAGAGTATTGTATAAATGGTGCTGTGTGACTTCCAAGACTACATCACAGAAGGCCATGCAGCTTCTGCCTTGTCTCTCAGAAGCCCGAGCCTCCATAAACTCCCGCTTCCAGTGGTTATATGGGAAGTCCTACCACCCTGTGACTGCTGTGCGGGAAAGACCACATGTAGGTGCTTTGGTGACAGTCTCAGCTGAGCCCAGCCTTCCAGGCGTCCCTGTCAAGGTGCCAGACATGCAAATGAGCCACCTTGGAACCTTCAAACCCATCGTCTGCCCACTGCTTACTTGAGTGACCCCCACTTACACCATGAGGAAGAGAAGAATCATCCAAAACTCCTAAAAAATGTTGCTTTTCCAACCCATCTCCATTATTATAGCCTAGATTATTTACAAAGCTCATTTTCAAGTAAAAGTTTTCAAGTAGGAACTTTAAGAGGAAACACTTCAAATCTGCCCAAACCTCTCACCCACAATATCATGAGATATAACAACATGGTTGTTTTGGGTCACCGTGTTTTGGGGTAGATAACTAAAACAGTCTCCTTTGGAGCCACTTTTGGGGAACCCTGTTGTGCTCTGAAATTATGTGTTCTTGCTTCTGAAATTCAAAATAGCATTTTGTACAATATTAAATGTATCTGGTTAAATGATGTAAAAATTATTTTGCTAACATTTCTCATTACTTTATGGCTAAATTGGCTTTTATTGGCTGGTTTGGAGACTTCATCATCAATAAAAAAATCATGTGTGGGTTCTGCATATCTAACACCTAATTAATGAATAAATTTCTGGAGTTCACTTGTTTGTTGACTGGGAACTGTCTATGTGGAAAGCAGCTGCAGCTCTGGGAATAAACTTAGCTCCACAGATCATAAATAGGATATGGTCAAACTAGAATCCTGAATAGATATAGCCATAGTCAGTACTGCCTGCAAATTGAGTGGCCATAGCTGCAGAAAGGATGGCAAGATGACTTCCATTGGCCTTTTTTCTACAGGGCTCTTACCTCTCACACACTGCCCTGCATTGGAGTGAGAGCCTCATCTGCCGGCGCTCAAATGCTCAGTAACATTTCGTTTGTGTTTCTTTCATAGTGCTTGCCACACTCTGCTTGAATTTTATTTATTTCTAGATATTTATTTTCCTTTCTTCTGCTACACTGAAAATGCCTTGAGAGTGGGATTATGTTTTATTTATTTTCTATCATTTGGACAGCGCATGCTGCCTTACAAGACAGATACATATTTGTTGATTAAAGGATGTTGCTTTCTTAAAATGGCTGCAATGGCCGATGGATGATATTCTAGCCCTAAGTTGCCAGGCTGTGAACTTCTCCTCTCCTTTTTTTTTTTTAATTTTTCATGATGTAGAATCACAGAATATCAGAATCGGCTGGGAACTTAGAGATCATTTACAGATGGAGGAACTGAGAACGGGGCTGCCTAGTGAGTGTGAAAGCTGGGGCTGGAGCCCAAGTCCTGACTCCAAGTCAGAGCTGTTTCCACCACACTAAGCAATCTCTTCATGTCATTGACCTGTTATCTCCATTCTGGCATTGGTGACAATATGCCATGAAGTAGCTGCTCCACAGATCTCACTCTGGCTAATTCTGTTTGTTATTGTTGTTGTTGTTGTTGTTGTTTAAAGAGATGGAGAGTCTTTTTCTGTTGCCCAGGCTGGAGTGCAGTGGCGTGATCATAGCTCACTGCAACCTCTCCCTTCTTGGCTCAAGTGATCCTCCTGCCTCAACCCCCTGAGTAGCTAGGGCTAGAGGCGTGCACCACCACACTCAGCTAATTCTTTTATTTTTGTAGGGGTGGGGTCTTGCTTTGTTGCTCAGACCTATCTCAAACTCCTGGGCTGAAATGATCCTCCTACCTCAGCCTCTCAAGTTGCTGGGATTACAAGAATGGCCCACTATGTCCGGCTTTAGTTCTGCATCTTTAGTCACTGTCTAAAGTTCCTCAATTTTGCTTTTCCATCCCATTTCAATTATTGTAGTTACACAGTTTTAACTCATTGTCAAATATTAGTTTTCAAGTAGGAACTTGGAAGGGAGAGTAAGTGTTTCCTTCAAAAAAGTAGTTTATCTAATGTTCTCTCAGGCCCATCTCATATGCCTTCATTGAATCAGTCAACATTCATTACATATTTATCATCAGTATTGCAGGAGGTTGCTCTGTGATGATGTTTTTGCTATTTATTTAAATGTGCTATTAATTTTTTTGGTAACATATTCAACATTATCATTTGCCTTCATTTCCTACTCAAAACAGTCACTGTTGTTTTGGATGCACTTTTCATGCATTCATTCCACAAATACTTGTTGGGGCCCTCGTATGCCCTGTCCTAGGAATCACGATAGAGTGCCGAACGAAACAGGCGTGGTCCTTGTCTTCACAGAAATTACAGTTTAGTGTTGTCTTGGCTATCTTGGCTCTGCCTTTCCCTCTGCCTTATTTTTTTTCCAAACCTGAAATTCCCTGGGGGAAGACAAAAAGCGAGCACATTTCCCATCCGATCACATTGTGTCTTACATCCCAGAACTTGATCCTTCCCCCCCACGTTCCCAGCCCCCGGGCTCTGCCACTCACATGCAGTCCTTGTTCATATCTCTGTGTCTTTAGGCAAGGCCATTCTCAAACTCTGGAATCTCCTCACATCTCTCTTATGTCAGAAAAACATCCATTAATCCTTCAAGATCTAGCCCAGATGTTCCTTCCTCATGAAGTTTTTCATTCCTCAGGCATTCTACCTACCTTTAAGTGCTCAATAGCACTCAGATTCTTACGGAAACAAAGCCAGTTTAGAATACATACAAATATATATGAATGCAATTCAAATCAGAATACTAAGGTATTATAAAAAAGAAAACTCAGAAGAGATTTTTTAAAATGTTATGCATACACATGTGAAAAAATTCAGTTGTGTGAAGTTCCAACCCTTTCCCCTCCATTAAGGAAACCATGGTTACAAGTCTGTTGTAATCTCTTCCAGATACATACTCTATGCATACATGAATAGAAATCCCAAGAATTTTGTGGGAAAACTGGACAGAAAAAACAAAACCAGAGAAGAAAGAAGGAGAGTGTGCATAAGAAGAATTGTGAAAGGTGACATGCCCTACCAGTTATAATAATTGCAACTAACACTGATTGGCAGACAACTTCCCCTGAGCCAGGCACTATTCTGAACACTTTATTGGAATTAGTTATTTAATATTCATAACAACCCTGTGGGTTAGGTACTGTTATTATCCCCTTTTTATAGATGAAGACATTGAGGTAATGGGCACAAGATTATTACAAAGTCGATGGCATCTGAACTAAACCCAGACTTTCAGTTTTGAGAGCCCACATGCTTAACCCTGCTGCCATCCTGTTAAGCCATAAAAGCCACAGCAATAAAAAGTATGATATTGACACAGGAATAGGTAAATAGAACACAGGAATAGAACAGAGTTCAGAAATAGATTCATAGAAAAGGTGACATTCCAATTTAGTGGGAAAGGGTGGGATATTTAATACATGATGTTGGCGTAATGGGATATGCCTTTAGAATAAATCAAGGTTATATATTATCCTCAGACAACATTTAAAAATCTAGATGGATGGAAAGTGTAAACTCTAAGAAAAATTAAGAATAAAAAAATTCAAGAGGAGCTCAAAGGTCATAAAAAGAAAGACAGACACACTTGACTACATGAAAATGAAACAAAATAAAAATAAAAATTATAGACTGGAAAAAATATTTATATTACATTTGAGAAATAAAGGGCTTCTACAAAATAGTAAGACAAATAAAAAATCTGATAGGAAGATGGGCAAAGTATATGAAGAGAAAATTGACAGAACAGGAACTCAAAAAGTCCAACAAACATAAGAAATGTTATTTAATTTCCCAGATATCCGGGAAAATTTAAATTGTATCATCTTTCAGCCATCAGATTAGCAAAGCCTTTAAAAAGTGATGGCATTTAATGTCAGAGAAGCTTTCAAGGGATTCACTGTCTAAAGAGAAAGATAGATATATTTAAAAAATAAATCTGACTGAAATACATGCTGTCATGCATTACTGGTGTATGAATTACTAGGAGCTTTTTGAAATAAAATTAACATTGTCTATTAAGATTTAAAGTCCACATAGTAATTGACTCAACAAATACTTACTTAGAAGTCTGTCCCATAAAAATAAACACACACAAAATTCAGGATACACACAAGAAAGTGGTCATTAAAGCATTGTTTGTATTGGGAGGGAAAAAAGGAATAAAAACAAACTGAATGTTCTACAATAGGGAAATGATCGAATGAATTCCACTATATGCAATATTATGCAGTTATTTAAAAATGTATCAGATCTATATTCATTGAGCAAGAGAGATATCTTTGGGTAGATGGCTAAATTAAAAAAAAAAAGAAAGTTGCTGAATAATGTGAGTAGAATGATTCCATATTTACCAAAGTGAAGCAAATGAAAAGTAAGCAAATAAAACCCTTGTGGGTGTTCTGTGTTTGATGGAGAAAGTGTGGAAGGAAATATAGTTAAGCTCCAAACCAGCTAATAAAAGCCAATTTAGCCATAAAGTAATGAGAAATGTTAGCAAAATATTTTTTACATCATTTAACCAGGCTGTTCAGCTGTTCCTTGGGGAAGTGGGCATGGAGGAAGGGGGTGGGGGGAGGTAATGAATGCCTTATATTGTTTAATTAAATGCTTTGTATTGTTTCATTTGTTACAATGAGGATATACTACTTTTGTAAGTTAAAAAAGCCTCTTTGAGCACTCCAACCATTGTGTTATTTTCATCTGACTCTCATTATGCCTTGAAATGCTACTTATATTTTGTCATTCCCTCTTCCTTTCTGAAGACAAATTTTTATCTCTCCAGGCCCAGGTCTAGAGCTACCCCACTATGAAGCCTTTTTTGACTTGCTTACTAGGTAGACTTTCTTTGTACCCTATGATTTTCTTTACTATTAATTTAGCGCTGATGTGGTTTGGCTCTGTGCCCCCACCCAAATCTCATCTCGAATTGTAATCCCCATGTGTCGAGGGAGGGATCTGTTGGGAGGTGATTGGATCTTGGGGGTGGTTTCCCCCATGCTGTTTTTGTGACAGTGAGTGAGTTCTCATGAGATCTGATAGTTTTAAAGTCTTTGGCAGTTTTTCCCTGCTCTCTCTCCTGCTGCCCTGTGAAGAAGTTTCCTGCTTCCTCTTCACCTTCTGCCATGATTGTAAATTTCCTGAGGCCTCCCCAGCCATGCAGCACTGTGAATTAATTAAACCTCTTTCTTTTAAAAATTACCTAGTCTCAGGTATTTCTTTATAGCAGTGTGAAAATTAACTAATACAAGCACTTATCAGAGTTAACCATGCTGTGTGTTTACTTGGCTGTCTACTTTTTGCTAGAACTTAAACCTTTCAAGGGTAGAGACTCTTGTTTCATGTATTTAGTAATGTCTGTGCCTGGCACAGAGTCGGTGCATAATAGTTGTTTGTTGAGTGGAGAAGCTAAGTCTTTGAAGGAGAGACTTACCTTGTATCATGTAGTTCATAAGCCTATTTATGGCACTGTTCAAAAATATCATTGCTCCAGTCAGCAATCTTTAAAAAAATCTGATGATTAAGAAGATTATAAACACTTTTCTGCTGAATCTTAGTGGGAAAAAAATCCCTAGGATTAATATATTTAAATTAACCTTGAGATGTTAAGTTCTCATGTCAAGTATTTACTTGTAATAAAAATAGATTTTCCCCCTAGCTCTGCATTCCCTAATATTTAGAAAGGTGTCACCAAATATATACAAACATTTCTGACAGACCTAAATGACAGGGAGAAAAAGGGGATGTTGTCATACTCATTTTTCAAGGTCTATTTCTTTTCTGGTTTTCCCAATGAAAGTAGCATTTTTAAAAGTGCTATAAAAGTAATGCCTAATCATTTTTAAAATAATAAAATGCAGAAATTCACAAAAAGAAAGTGAAACCCACTTGGAATCTTATTATTTGTTGATAAATACAATTAGCATTTAACAATATATATCATTTCAGGCTTTTTTCTGTACCCAACTCACAAATATTTGTACAAAACAGGATCTTAAAATCATAGCATTTTGCAACCTGATTTTTTACTTAAAATAAATCTGGTCATTTTCATATTAATACATATAGACCTACATCTGCACTTTTAATGGTATTTTTTCTCTGGATGTATCATAAGTTATTAAACCAATATCCTATTGATGATGGATGCATAAAATTAAGGTAAGGAAATCAGACTATCTGTGTTGGAACCCATGGTATGCCTCTTATTAGCTGTGTGACCTTGGGCAAATTTATTTAAATTCTCTGGACCTCAGCCTCCTCATCTGTAAAAGTGGGGAAAGTAATAGTGCGTACTTCCTAGGATGATCATGAGAATGAATGAATGCATGTGAGCCACCTATTGCAGTGCTGGTATACTGTAAATGCTCAGTGTTAGCCACTAGGTTAAGTATCTTTAGAATGGTAGTGGTAAAGGAGAAAGCATAATCAAATAAGCTGAATGGTAACATATTCACAGACTAGAGAACTGAAATACAAAAGTGACATTAGGAATAGATCGGAAAGAATGTCTATCTGTAGTGTTCATTTGACATAGTGGAGAATCTTTGCCTTTGTTTTTCAGGAAACACAATTGTTCTTGGCTCCACTTTAGAGGATGCACATGGCTCAGTGCAGGGTGAGATTGATTTTGGCAACTGAATGGAACATTGGAGAGTTGAGTTTTAAGGCTCATTTGTGAAAAACAATAGCAATAAAGCAATTGACTAAAATGTCCTAATACAAGAAAATGATTGTTTAGAGTGTTGGATGTGATTTTTGGCTCTTGAATAAATTGCTTTGTTCCATTCATGAGAATAGCAGGGATTTTAACAAACATTATACAGTATTTTAAATTTTAGAAGAGCTTAAGTCTTGCATAATTTTATTTACTGTTGAGTAAAACGACTATACAGAACTATATTTCATTCACGTGTGTATATATGCCACACTATTAGAGTTCCCTTGAATTTATATAATAATGATAAGAATAATTCTGCATGCTTGTATAGTGCTTAAAACTGTTGTATGAATTTTTCAATTTTTAGAGGATTGCTTCCTTTTTTTAATTATATACTCTGATTAATCACTACTTTTGAAAAAAAGTAAGAAATCAGATCAAACTTATTTAACCTCAGGTTAAAGAAAAGAAAATGTGTTTTTTTTTTTAGTTGTGGAGAAAATGCATAGCCAAGAAAATCCCTGTTGAAATGTAAATTTTATAATAACATGAACTATAAAAAAATCATATGAGTGGCCGATGCCATTAAAATCAATTGATTTCTGTCGGACACAAACTACAGAAATCCCTTGTCAGAGAGGAGGAATATAGTTATTTTTAACTTGGTAACAAAATATTAATTTTGCATTATTTTTACCTGTAAAACCTTTCGGGAAGAGACAAATTACTTCCCCGTTGCCTAAGACAAAACAAAATGAAAACCATGTAAATTCTTTCATTGCACAAACTATTGCATTCCAGATGGTGGTGCTGTTCTCATTGAAAGAACACATCCCAAAAATGGTTTTGTTTTTTTTTTTTGAGGTAAAATTTTGCAATTACTCTTTCATTTATAAATTAAACTGTTAAGACAACAATAAATTATAGATACACTTTCTACTAGCCTTTAAAACTATTGTTTTTAGATTTGGGATTACTTTAATCTATAGTGATTAATCAACCATGTACTTAGCAAAAAGATAGTGGTGTGGTATATTTATTTATGGTGGGTAGTGGTATAAAAGTGTACAACACCATTCTTTGTATTTGAAAAGCAAAATATCCAAAGAATGCCACTATCTTTTTAAAACACAGTGCTACATTTATGAAGACACAAAAACCTATAGAAAAGGTGCAAAATTTTAAGACAAATCATTACTCAGATGGTTAAATGGAATTGCTAGTCAGATTCCAGCAGGGAAGCAGACTATTAAAGTCACACAATATATAACTGCCAACAGCTTTGCTTTCATTTTAGATAACATTTTGTTGTTGTTATTTCATTTTTTCAGTTTCATATTTTTATTCCAGTCACTTCCTAAGAAATGAAAATTTCTTTCTTTCTATAACATTTGCTTTATGAAATAATGCCCAAATATTCATATGTAGCTCTCTGAATGCCTGTGGATGCTTAAAGAAAAAATATCACCACATATTTATTTAAATTAGATGAAATCCAAATGTTTCCTGTGCAAGGACTGCAGTAGTTCTGTGAATTTGGGCGGGGATTGTCTCTAGTGTGGAAGTTGTTCCCCGGGTAGAAGCTCATATTAAAATGATTAAACACATCTTTCACTGTAAGAAAAACCAATCACTTTCTGTCAGGAAACTAGACATCCCATGTCCCCTTCCCTGCATCAAAATATCCTTAAAGGTTTTAAACTATTTTCTTTCCTTAGAAGAGTAAACAGTGCAGTTGACTCAGAAAGGAATCTGAGTCAGAAAGGAATCAGACTGGGATCAGTCTGGGATTCTGGAATCCATCAACCACTGACTTTTGGCCTTAGGCAAGATGCCTCACTTGTCTAAGCTGTTCCTTATACATAAATGAAAGGGTTGAACTAGCATATAGATAACCTCTCAGGCCACTTCCAAATCTATAACTATGATTCTAAAAGATATTAATAGAGATTTAATATATATATGTATTTACACACACAATAATATATATGTATATTTACACAATAAGCAAAATGAATTATTATTTGGCCATAAAAGGAAAGAAGTACAGATACATGATAGATTAAGATGGATGAGCCTTAAAAGCATAAACTTTCATTCATGCTAAGTGGAAAAAGCTAGCCACAGAAGACCACATATTGCGTGATACCATTTATATGAAATGCACAGAAGAGTCAAATCTGTGAAGACAGAAAGTAGATTAGTGGTTGCTAGAGACTGGAGGATGGGAGAGGAGAGTTTGGAAGTGGGACTTGACTGCTAATGGGTATAAGATTCCTTTTTGGGGTAATGAAATATTTTACAATTAGATTATGCTGATGGTTGCACTCTTAAAATATATTAGAAGCCATTGAATTGTATGATGTAAATATAGTGACATATAAATTATATCTGAATAAAGCTGTTTTTTAAAATGTGTATTTATATATATGAATATATATGTGTATTGTATGTATATATGTGTGTATTTGTCTATGTATGTAAACTCTGAAGTAGCATAGGTTTCCTATGATGATTCTTTGGCAAGCAGCATGATCTTAAGAGCTTTCACAAGCATAATATATTATGGGTTCCCATGAGAAAGGATGTGTAAATATATAAAGCAGTAATTTGGCTTTTCAAGTGCCGGAGACAGATGCTTTGGACAGGCTTAGGTTTATCCCTTCCTGCAACAAAAGTTATAGGTCCAATGGGTCCCTCCATCTAAGATGGCTTATTCTAAAATAAAACTTCTTTCTAAGGCCTGTTTTCATTGTTCTCAATATTCCAGGTAAGTTTACAAGGAGTGAATTTTGGATTTCCTATCATATGGTTTTATAGATTTTGTGTTTTTTGTTGCTTATTTTCTCCTGTTCTTTGTCTTTTATTCAATCATCGAAGTTTTATTTTGTTTTTGTTACATTTAGTTTTTCTAGTTGCTTGGAAGTTACACAATCTATTTCTACTTCATAATGATTATTCTTATATCTTTTATAATATACCTTTTAAGTATATTTTTCTCTCTATGTCTAGAGTGATCCAGCATTTAACTCAATCATGAGACAAACTTTTGCATACCTTCATTTACCAGCTTACTCTTTTTCTGCTGCTATTTTATGCTGAGATCATCTGGATTTTCATTTCTGGTGGTTATTCTCTTTCCTTACCTCCAATTATTAAGATTTAACTTAATAATTGTTAAATTATTAAGATTTAACTTAATAATTGTTAAATTATTAAGATTTAACTTAATAATTGTTAAATTATTAAGATTTAACTTAATAATTGTTAAATTATTAAGATTTAACTTAATAATTGTTAAATTATTAATTAACAATTATAAGTATATAATAACTTAATAAGTCCCCTACTTATGATGGTTTGATTTATGATTTGTCAACTTTACGATGGTGTCAAAGCATACCCATTCAGTATGCTCTTCGACCTAAGAGGTTACATCAGGATAAACCCATTGTAAGTTGAAAATGTTATCAACTTACAATAGGTTTATTGGGATGTAACTTCATCATAAGTCAAGGAGCATCTGTAATTTTGTCTAGTTTCTTTGTCCATTCCTCCCTTTTTTCTATTCCTGTGTCTTCTTCTTGAGTTCATTTTTCATTATTTGGGAGTACATTCTTTACTAATTTTTTCAGAGATAACTCATGGTTGATAATTTTTTGAGTAGTTACATTTATAAAAATGTCTTTGCCTTCACCTAAGTTATAGTTTAGCTAGGTATAGAATTTTAGGGTCAATCTTTTCTCAGAACTTTGAGGATGTTACAATCTTCTTAATTCAGCATTATTGAAGTCTAATGTCAACATGATATTCATTCTTATATAGATCATCCGTTGTTTACCCTCTAGAAGCCTTTAGAATGCCCACCTTATTCTCTTTGTTCTGAAATTTCACAAGGGTCACTCTGAGTAAATCATTTTTTTAAAAATTTATTCTGCTTGGAACCTGGTGGTTAACAATATGAATATTTTCTTAATCTAAGAAATCTTATTTTACTAATTTCTCAATTTTTTCTCACCTACGTTTTCTCTAGAATGCCTTTAAAATGAACTCCTATTTCTAGAACCCTTATTAAATGGCTGCGGAAATCTGGGTCAATCTTTCATGTCTCTAAACTTTTCTTTGGTTTTTTTTTTTGTTTTTGTTTTTTTTTTTTTTTTTTAGACTGAGTTTCACTCTTTTGCCTAGGCTGGAGTGCAGTGGCATGATCTCAGCTCACTGCATCCTCCGCCTTCTGTTTTGAAGCGATTCTCCTGCCTCAGCCTCCCGAGTAGCTGGGATTACAGGTGTCCACCACCATGCCTGGCTAATTTTTGTATTTTTTATAGAGATGGGGTTTCACCATGTTGGCCAGGCTGGTCTCGAACTCCTGACCTCAGGTAATCTGCCTGCCTCAGTCTCCCAAAGTGCTGGGATTACAGGCGTGAGCCACTGAGCCTGGCTCTTTGTATTCTTTATTCCTTTATGTTTTCCATTGTTTTGAGAGCATTCTCAAAATGCTATTTGTCTATGTCCACTCTACTATTTTGCCCCTAAATCAATCTTTTTATTTTGTTTTTCAAGTCTTAAATTTCTACCATATTCAGCTAATGTTTTAGTTACAGTGTCCTTCTACATCTTTCCAGAGATTTTTATATGCTTATTCCAAAATGTTGTGAGCTCTTTTAACTATGATTCTTCAAAATGTTTTACTTGCTGAGTTTTTGCCTTTGTTTCAAGGTATTAGTGTTTTCCAAATGTTTGCAGATTCTTAGTTGTTTGTTCATCTTTGTATTTGAGAATTGGTTTGTCTCCTCTGTTTAAACACTGTTTATGTGGGAGAGATGAGAGGTGCTAACTGTTCAGCTTGGAACTGGTACTTTTTGTCTTTTCCTAGTGTAACTTCTCCACCTCCCAGAGGGCATTCTTCTTGGTTTCTTGCCCTGCTTCTCCAGCCCCAGAATGCAGGTTCACTGATTTTGCCTGTAGTAAATACTACTTCTACTTTTGTCCTGCTTTTTATCTGTCTGTATCTTTCAGTGCCTTACTTGGCTTGCCCATGGCCCCTTCATGCTGTTGGCTATAATTTCCTGAGAGAAGGGAAGAATTGGGTGGTGAGACCACCTCTACTCTTAGTTTTGTTTTGTTTCATTTTTAAGCATGGTGTAGGAACTCAGGCAATTACAAATTTTGAGAAAAAATAAAGTATGTTTAACTAAAAAAAATAGATTTCTGACTTAGGCTTTATACTGCTAACTTATTTAGCATCAAATGCTTTTTAAAACACAGGCTATGAAATAAGGAAAACTGATTTTTGAGTTCCAGTTCTGTCCCTTTTCCCAGGTGTTGTGATTCATCTGTGAACCTGAATTTTTTCATCAATAAGTTCAGGATAGTAAGAATACCTGCTGCATATATTCTGTGATGATGAAATATAACAGTAAAAGTGAAAGTACTTTGAGAGCATCAAAGAGCCACTAACAGTTTATTATTTATGGCACTAAATAATGCCCCACTCAGACCTTTGGTAGGAGGATAAAGTAGGTAGTAGGAAAATATAATAAAAGACTGAGGTACCCAAGATGAGGAAAGAGGAGATTGCCACAGGCTCTTGTCCTGAACTCTTGTTTTATAAACTTTGCTCTCTATTCTTTAGAATTCCTAAAACCAAGATTTTCTGCATGTCAGATCCAGGAACTTTGCTTTCCTTATGGCATAAAAGCTAGCCAAAAGAATCACTGTGAAGGTTCTCATCAACCAGAGTAGATAATTGGTTATGGGGTATGAAGGATGGCTACTGATACTCAGTAGACAGGATTCTAAAATTATATTAACTTTTTCCTAGAACTTTATCAAAGTGACAGTTTTATATGTATCTCTGTGTACAAGAATTTGAAGCTAGCTAAAATCTAAATCTGAAAATATCTTCTATAAAAGAGAGGACTTTGTAGTTTTTTTTTCTTTCTCTCTCAGTGATGAAAAACTGGATAGAACCATAAACACTTCAAAGGATGAGAAATCCACATGGGCTGGAGTCCTAGCCAGAGTCCTTGCCAAGATCACTTTCCTCAGAGGATTTTCATGCTCTTCCTTTCTTTGGGGAATCAAATTTCCCAGCCACCTCAGCCCAAGACGTGCTGTAGTTACATGTACTCACTTTGTGGCTTTATATTAAGAGGTAAAATGAGGAGTGGTAATGCTAAAAGGCAGTGGGTATGGAGAGATTTCCTTTGGATGTGCTTTCACTTGGGTTATACCAGGTACTTGGAATTCTGTGTTTTACTTTTGGATAAAATAATTCTTTGCCAAAATGTTTTCTTCACTAGCGTGAAGCCATCTAGCTGAATCAAAATGGAGCTGCTGCCTGCCTACAGATTTTTTATGTGGGTGAACATTATTGTTTTTTAGAGAGGTGAGAATATTTATTTCCTTCCATTTTCATTCTTCAGAGATTATTCTATCACTTTGGATTCAGCACAGGTTACCCAGCAATTACTACTCACTCTTCTTGGGTTCAAATAAATGAGTTTGGTCCAACGTTTCCTGTATTTTAAAATGGAGGCAGTTCATGACGATCAGGATTTGGGGAGGAAGTGGATTTAATTAGACAAGGAAGAGGGTAGGAGACTGGACACCATTTGGGGCTATTTTCAGCTAGTTGAGCCAAATTGTTATTGACCTAAAGCTGACAGTTTTTCTGTGGCCTGCACAATGTGAATTTAGTGAGCTCAGCCAATTCTCAGAGGACAAGCTCTTATATTTCTAGACATACCAGCAGTGGTTCCCGACATTTAGATTTCATGGACAAGTACAATTAAAAATAAAAGAAGTATGGAGATAGAGAGAAGCCAAAAAATCTTAGGAAAAGGTCAGCCCTTTAAATGGAATACTTTCAAATATATGAAAGAAAAAAAAAAAACCTCACTTCAATGTGCTCGATTTTCTCATTTTTTTCCTGGCCAGTGAAAACTAGATCCTGGGACAGCACTGGACACACACAGATGTTTGAGAACTACTGTTCCCAATCTATGAATGAGGCTGTAACTTTTCAACCTGCAAATTCACTTCAGATATTTAAGAAGAACCTTCTAAGTGAAAATATGAAAGTGAACAAAAGCTTTCCTTTTTAAATACACTTGTGTAACCAATTGTTTGGAACAAGTCACCAATGATGCCTTACTTCAGTTCACTATTCTTTCAAATAAAAGATGTATTTGTGAAATTATAATCATTCAAATAGCCATTTTGAGGGCTATGTTTTTTTTTTTTTTCAGTCACAAATCTAAGTGACCCTGAGAATTGTAAAAAGATACTATGGAAATATCAATAGTGTTTTTATGTTTTGAGCCAATGATTTTAAACTTCCACTTGCTAAAAAAAATCAAGAAAGATGAAGTATGAAAACAAGCACGTAGATCTTTCTTTTGTATTACATGTGTGTAACTAAGAAGCCAGTACTCAGATAAATGGCTACAATCTTAATAGCTCGCTCCTGGAAAGCCAAAACTGCATTTCTCTTTTGTCAGGACTGGAAGCATGTAAATTGATTGCCCAATTAAGGAAAGGTTGACTGAAGGTGAGTAAGGTTTCAATGTTCCTGACTTAATTGCTCAACAAGCTTTATTAAGGGGCTAAATGGAGCAGCAAGGGAGTGGCTGGAGTGCAAGGGACTGCTTCTCACCGAGTATTATTGGACGGCTGCCAAAGACAGTTAAAAAATAAAATAAAATAAAGCTGCTCAAGCGTCTTATGCCATGAAGAACAAGATTCTTCATGTTGGGGCTCGCAGTTTTAGTTATAGCAAACTGATTACAACATACATAATTTCTAGTTACAGATAAGGGGCCATTTGCACAGCATCTAGTAGTTTTCATATAATCTTGCCCTGGATTCTGTAAGTTAATAGAGGTAATATATTATTATGGAAAAAGATGGAATCTGGCAAAGATCTCAGGCACTGAAGGAACCAGCTGTTCCGTAGCAATGTGATTTTGCACGCTTCTTGGGGCCTGGCATTCTTAAACTTCCACCAGCGTTAATTCTTACTGGTGAGTTTTCGCTCTACTGGGCCTGCTTATGCAACTCAGTGGCCCAAAAGTCTGATGTCACAGCCTAATGCTGCGTGTCCTCTGCCAAGAGTCTTTTCTGTGGGCACACATTTCTGATGAGAATCTACCCTGTTTTGACTCTTGACTGCATCAGTCTCTGGCAATTACCCTTGTGAAAATAACTCCTTTTTCAAGCATGCAATGTGTCTGGCTTTTATCCAATGGTTTAATCACAAACTCTCTGTGACAGCTTTACCTTGAGCAGCCCCTTAGGGAATTCAGAAGAGCTAGGGTTGCATTTGGACTCTCTAACTACAACATTCTTTTGGCTTTTATGCTGGCCTCAGATCTGGTCTAAACAATGATTTTGTACTTGCTGAGCAGAGTTTTTCACTACTTTGTTCCATGAATTCAAAGGAAGCATGGAAAATGGCACAGATAAGATCATCTTAATGTTAATAGGGGCGCTTATTGTGGGCTTACTATGTGACAGATACTGTGCTAGAAAATTTACAATATGCTATCCAGTCTAATTATTCCTTACAACCATTCTATGGGATGACTATTATTATTCCCACTTTCTGGTTGCGGACACTGAGACTGAAGGAGATTAAGGAAACCTGCCCAATGTCACTTAGCTTTTAAGTAGCAGAGGCAGGATTCCAACCAAGGTCAGTCTGAGTCCAGAGCCATGTTCCTACCTCCTTGCAAATTCTCCTAGACAATACATTTGTCCTTGGGCCTTGTGGGGGAATTGTGGAACAGAAGAACAGGCATTAACACACAGAGAGAGACACACACAGACACACACACACAGACTCCAGAGTCTAGCTTTGCTTCCCATCAGACATGGGACTAGTGCTCATAGAGCTGACTGGGGATATCTCTACCTGCCTAGGACACCAAATCTCTGTAAAAGACAGCCCGCTTCCTGAAGCCTCGTCTAGTGGAGGGAGGTTCTGACATACTGTTTTGTTCAGGCTGGTCCTCCACCCCAAGAATGGAGCTCTGCTTCCTACCCTACCTACCTAAGGACTACTCTCCAAAGGAGTACAAGAACCCAAGCCAGTTCACTGCAAGGCAGGTTATGCTGGATGCCTTTTTGGGCAGGATGTAAGGCCTGTTTCCTACCTTATTTCCATTTTGTGTGGTGGTCTGATATAAGGCTTTGCTTGTGGGCAGTGTTGTAGCACTGGTTATAGCTGAAACTGCCCCATGAGGACAGGCTCCTTCATCAGTTAACCCACTTACCATAGAAGTTGGACCCTCCTTACCAAATTTGTCTCTAGTAAACGGTGTTATGAGGTTCTAGCCTAGATTTAATAAATTTACATCGTATGCTTCCCCACCCCCAACAAAGTTGGGAAAATTGAAAAAAAAAAATAGTCACTTTCACAGTATTATTTTGAGAACTGAAAAGTACGAAGTAATACAAAATTAATAGAAATTTCAAAATGACAAGCATTTTGATATGTCCTTCTAAAATACTGATAAAGAGAATTCTTCTTTCTGAAAGCAACTGGGTTCTGAAGAGACAGGGTGTGTTGAAATTTCCTATGCTTTTAAATGGTTCTGGAATTCTACTTGATTGTTGGGGATTTGGGGTATCATTTGGAAAGCAAGATAACCCAAGAGCAAAAAACAGTCTTTTGGAATTATCCTAATATCTGCTGAATTCTCTTTAGCTTCGATGATAATGAAGGTGAACTGGGCAAAAAGAGTTTGCTTTGAAGTCTCCTTTAATAAAAGCCAAATCATTTTGTTTTAGAGAGACGTTGGAAAGATAGGTATTCTGTTAGCTAAATTTCCTCTATTGAGTTTCCCTTTAAGAAATAATCTAGAAGATCTTAAGATCATCTGATTATTTGCTGAAATCAAATTATGATAACTGGGGAACCCCTTAGATATGACTTTCTACCTGTTTGGTACCAGACAGTGGGTTGCTCGGCGAGGAAAGCATACTTACAGATTGCAGTTCATGATTGCATTGTTCTAAATCATGGATGATGCTACAGATGATAGTCTGTCTACTGCAATTCGGCCTGGGGTTAATTGATATTGAGAGAGGATGTTTTAGCCTCAAATTCTGCTCAGTTCCTGTATTTGGCATGAAACTTTCACTTTCTCTGGAAAACAGTCCTTAACTTAGAAGGAATTGTTGATCTAGAGCTGAAGACAAGGCAGTTTAAAAGCTTCATCCATGTCCCTACAAAGGACATGAACTCATCCTTTTTTATGGCTGCATAGTATTCCATGGTGTATATGTGCCACATTTTCTTAATCCAGTCTATCATTGTTGGACATTTGGGTTGGTTCCAAGTCTTTGCTATTGTGAATAGTGCCACAGTAAACATACGTGTGCATGTGCCTTTATAGCAGCATGCTTTATAATCCTTTGGTTATATACCCAGTAATGGGTTGGCTGGGTCAAATGGTATTTCTAGTTCTAGATCCTTGAGGAATCGCCACACTGTCTTCCACAATGGTTGAACTAGTTTACAGTCCCACCAACAGTGTAAAAGTGTAAAAGTGTTCCTATTTCTCCACATCCTCTCCAGCATCTGCTGTCTCCTGACTTTTTAATGATTGCCATTCTAACTGGTGTGAGATGGTATCTCATTGCGGTTTTGATTTGCATTTCTCTGATGGCCAGTGATGATGAGCATTTTTTCATGTGTCTGCTGGCTGCATAAATGTCTTCTTTTGAGAAGTGTCTGTTCATATCCTTTGCCCACTTGTTGATGGGGTTGTTTGTTTTTTTCTTGTAAATTTGATTGTGTTCTTTGTAGATTATGGATATTAGCCCTTTGTCAGATGAGTAGATTGCAAAAATTTTCTCCTATTCTGTAGGTTGCCTGGATGAAGCTGGAAACCATCATTCTCAGCAAACTATTGCAAGAACAAAAAAACCAAACACTGCATGTTTTCACTCATAGGTGGGAATTGGACAATGAGAACACTTGGACACAGGAAGGGGAACATCACACACTGGGGCCTGTTGTGGGGTGGGGGAAGGGTGGAAGGAAAGCATTAGGAGATATACCTAATGTAAATTACAAGTTAATGGGTGCAGCACACCAACATGGGACATGTATACATATATAACAAACCTGCACGTTGTGCACATGTACCCTAGAACTTAAAGTATAAAAAAAAAAAGTTCAACAAAACCCTAACTGGGAGAAAAAGGGGAATTTGTGTGCCTGGTTAGGATATGGATTGGCGCTTCTTATCACCCACCTAAAAGTACATGAAGGAGAGGAAATGAGTCACAGGAATCATCGAATCAAGTAAACTTTATCTGTAATTTCCCAATTAATCCCAAAGATGGATTATTTTCAGAACAAAGTCTTCCTTTTAAAATGCGAAACAAAAAAAGGATGAGACTTAGAATAAAAGATGAAATAGTATAGACCAATGAAAGTAGGGCAAAGCACATCTCTTCATCTCTAGCAGTGGTTCTCAACCTTTTATATGTGCCAGAATTATCTAGGGAACTTCTTGAGTATGCAGATTCCTGGCCCTATCCTATGATTTAATAGGTTTGAGGGGGATTCAGGAATTTACATTTTTGTCAGAGACACCCAACTATTCTGATCCAGGTGATCCACGGGCCATGTTTTGAAAGGCACTGAGCTATACTAGTACAGATTAACATCTGTAGATGCTGGTGTAACTGGTTGGATTTCCTCAGGGAGTGAAACTTGATAAAGGGTTGGGCAGACAAGCCTGAACAGAGAATCTCTGGAACTCATCTTTGGTCTGGGGCTTGCACATTGTCTCATTCCTTCTGGATTGTATAAACTACATTCAGGAAAAGGTGGGAGCAAAAACACTCTATACACACACATGTGCACACGCACACACACACACCCCTCTGATTTCTGTATTCCTGAATATCTTAGGCAAATACATGCTGGGATGCATATCTTATCATTAGCAAAAGCTTTCTCTAGTTATGTCAGTGAATAAACCCTAGTACCTTATTACCTATTACTTTCTCCGCATTTGGACCTTGCAGAACTCTCCAAATTCCAACCAGCATGGACAAGGATCTTCTCAGCTGAGCCTTACACTGCTGCAAGATTGGGAGGATCTGCTGGTCTTTTTTCCCTTTCCCTAAAACTGCCTCTACCTTGGCTAGACTCTCCTATCCAGACCTATCCAGGTAGACTCTCTATATGAGTTCTGACCTGGTCCTTGATCCCATTTTGTCTGAGATAAGCAGGATACAAGCATACTTAGATTCCTCCTCCATACCAGCAGGATTTAATAATATTTAATTTACCTTCCATTCATTCCACAACATTTTTGTGCCTACTCAATATTTGAGTGTCTACTATGTGCCAGGAACTGTTCCAGGAACTTGGGATATATCAGTGAACAAAACAGAAGGATCCCCCATCCCCTTGTAGAGCTTATATTTCAGCAGACGATATAGACAACAAACAATATTTATAATTAAGGTGGTAAGTTCTCTGAGAAAATGACAAAATGGAGTTAAGGATGTGTGTGTGCATGTGTGTGTGTGTGTGTGTGTGTCTATGTATACGTAAGTTGCATTATTACACAGAATGGTCAGGGTAAGTCTTATTGAGAAAATGAGAACTGTGTAAGGATTAAAAGGATGAGAGGAAGGTAGCCAGATGATATTTGCGGAAAGAGCATTCTATTCTATGCTGGGTGAGGTGACTCATACCTTTAATCCCAGCACTTTGGGAGGCTGATGCGGGGGGATCACTTCAGCCCAGGAGTTAGAGACCAGCCTGGGCAACACAGCAAGGCCTGTCTCTACAAAAATTTTAAAAACTGCTGGGTATGGCGGTGCATGCCTGTAGTCCCAGCTATTTGGGAGGCCCAGTTGATTGAGGCTGCAGTCATCTGTGATCACGCCACTGCATTCCAGCCTGGGTGACAGAGCAAGACTCTGTCTCAAAACACACAGGTACACACACACACACACACACACACACACACACACAAACACTTACACCCCCAAAAACATTCTACCCAGAGGGATAAGTTACAAGAAAGTCTCTATGGCAAAGATATGCCTGGCATATTCAAAGAACAGCCAAGAAGCCAGTGTAACTGGAACCAATTGAGCAAGAAGGATAACAGGAGACAAAATAAGGGGTACTGGTGGGGAAAGTCAAGAATAACTACAACTTTTTTTCTGAGCTGCTAGAAGATTGGAGTTGACATTAGCTGAGATAGGGAGGGCTATGGATGGAGCTGGTTTAGGGAACAGGGAAATCAAGAGGCTTGTTTTGGAAATATCAGACATTCACAAGAAGATTTGAGTAGGCACTTGGGCATATGAGCTTGGAGTTCAACAGATTCATAAAAATGGCAATCATTAGCATATAGAATTTATTAAAGGACATGGGAATGCTTGAGGTTATCAAAATGTAGATGAAAAAGGGGTCCAAGTCTGAGCCTTGGGGCACCACAACATTAAGAGGATAAATTAAGCGAAGCAAACAGCAAAAGAAAGTGAGAAGAAGCAACCCAAGAGGTATGACGAAAACCAATAATGTGGTATGTTTGGAGAGTATTATGGAAGAGGGAGAGCATCAAAAGCTGCTGATATGTCAAGGCCCAAGGTTTGAGCATTATAATTAATAACATGGAATGGGTTCAAATGAAATGCAAGGAAAGCAGCTGAAAACAGTAAATATAGATAACTCTTTCTAGGAATCTTGCTGCCAATGGAAAGGAAGAGAAATGGGACAGTAGGGAATAAGTGAGGTGTTGTTATTGTTGTTGTTTAAATGAGAGAAATATAAATGCTAATATGACTGATGACAATGATTGGAGAGAGAGAGAAGAGAGAGAGAAAATGTTGATGCTGTGGAGAGACAAAGGAAAATTGCTAGAGCAATGTCCTTGATTTGATAAGAGGGGTTGGAGTCCAGTCCACAAGTGTGGAGACTAGCTTTATATAGAGTAGAAATAGATCATCTGTGGTACCACAGAGAAAAGCTGAGTATGTGGGAGATGAGGCTGCTTGTTAGGTACATGAGATGGTGCGAGTTGGGGGAGGTTGTCTTCTGATTGCTTCAATTTTCTCAGGAAAGTAGGAAATAAAATCACCTGTTGAGAGTGAAGATGGGATGAAATTTTGGGTTTAAGAAGAGAGAAGAAGGTGTGAAATAGAGAGGAGGGGAATGAATGAACTTGAAATATGTGGTATCATTACCTGTAGCTATTAGGGGCACAGTGATAGTTCCTGGTCATAAATTTTCACTACAACTCATTAGGAGGTTGTAGTTTTTCTCCAGCCATATTTAGATGCACAGGAGCAGCCACTGAGTAGCTGAAAATTGGATTTAACCCAAGGAGGAAAGAAAAGACACTTTCAAGAGGAGTTAAAATTGAAGAGAATCTAATGAAGGGACAATTCTTGAAGATAAGGGCTGTAATATGGGGAGCCCACAGGATGATGAAACACTCCAGGGTTAGCAACAGCAGGGAGACATTACCACCCCAAGGCTAAAAGGGCAAGAGTAGTTATCAGAAGAACCCTGTGACAAGTGCAGCTGTAGGAGAAAGGTCCCTCATTCCGATCTGTGGCCTTAAAGAAACTCAGCCATTGCCAAACTTCAGCCTGACAGTGAAGAGCAGAAGATCAATACCCCTACCACTCTTTCTCCTGCCTTCCATGCTCCGTGGTCCCTCTCATTGGCTGAACCTAACTAATAGCTAAAGGAGGGAGAATCTTGTTAAGACATCTATAAAAGGCAGCCTCCTAGGGCACAGAGCAAAGAAGGATAGAGCGAGAATCTAGAGGAGTGAACAGAGAAGAACATCCAGTCTGACAAGAGTTATGCTTTTGCCAAATGAGTACAATGAAGTGAAAGAGTGGCAAGGGAATTATATGCAAGTATGCAAGAGAGTGATTTAGAGGCATACCTTGGGGGTACTGTGGGTTCAGTTCCAGACCACCACAATAAAGCAAATATCACGGTAAGTGAGTCATATGAATTTTTTGTTTTTCAGTGCATGTAAAAGCTTACACTATACTGTAGTATAGGAAGTGTGTGATGTCATTATGTCTTAAAAAATGTGCATACCTTAATTGAAAAATACTTTATTGGTAAAAAAAAATGCTAGCAATCATCTGAGCTAGTTGTAGTCTTTTTGCTGGTAGAAGATTTTGCCTCAACGTTGATGGCTGCTGACTGATTAGCGTGGTCATTGATGAAGATCAGGGTGGCTGTGGCAATGTGTTAAAATAAGACAAAAATAAAGCTTGCCTCACTGATTGACTCTTCCTTTCAGAAAAAAATTTTCTGTAGCATGTGATGGTGTTGGATAACATTTTCCCCACCGTAGAACTTTCAAAATTAGAGTCAATACTCTCAAACCCTGCCACTGCTTTATCAATTAAGTTCATGAAATACTCTAAATTCTTTGTCTTCATTTCAACTATGTTCAGGGCACCTTCACCAGTAATAGTTTCTATTTCAAGAAACCACTTTCCTTGCACATCCATATGAAGTACCTGCTCATCTGTTCAAGTTTTATCATGAGGTTGCAGCAATTCAGTCACATCTTCAGGCTCCACTTCTCTTATTTTTCTGCCACATCTGCAGTTACTTCCTCCAATGAAGGCTTAAACCCCCCAAAGCCATCCATGAAGGTTGTAATCAACTTCTTCCAAACTCCTGCTAATGTTACTATTTTAACTTCCTCCCATGAATCACAAATGTTATAAGTGACATCTAGAATGGTGCATCCTTTCCAGAAGTTTTCAATTTACTTTGCCCATATGTATCCATAGAAGCTATAATTTTATGAAATATATTTCTGAAATCAGAAGACTTGAAAGTCAAAATGACTTCTTGATCCATGGGCTGCAGAATGGATGGTGTGTTAGCAACAAGAAAACAACATTTATCTCCTGGTACATCTCCCTCAGAGCTCTTGAGTAACCAGGTGCTTTGGCAATAAGCAGTACTATTTTGAAAGGAATCTTCATTTGAACAGTAGGTCTCAGCAGTGGGCTTAAAAATATTCAGTAAACCAAGCTGTAAACAAAAGTGCTGTCATCCAGGCTTTGTTGTTCCATTTATAGAACATAGGCAGAGGAGATTTAGCATAATTCTTAAGGGCCCTCAGATTTTCAGAATGGTCAATGAACATTGGCTTCAACTTAAAGTCACCAGCTGCGTTAGCCTCTAACAAGAGAGTTGGCCTGTCCTTTGAAGCTTTGAAGTCAGGCATTGACTTCTCCTCTCTAGCTATGAAAGTCTCAGATGGCATCTTCTTCCAATAGAAGGCTGTTTGGTCAACACTGAAAATATGTTTTTAGCATAGACTCTTTCATCAATGATCTTAACTAGATCTTCTGGATAACTTGCTGCAGCTTCTCCATCAGCACTTGCTGTTTCACCTTGCTCTTTTATTGTAGGTAGATGACTTTTTCCCTTAAACCTCATGAACCAACCTCTGATACCTTCAGACTTTTCTTCTACGTCTTCCTCACCTATCTCAGCCTTCATAGAATTGAAGAGAGTTGGGGCCTTTCTCTGGATTAGGCTTTGGTTTAAGAGAATGTGATGACTGGTTTGATCTATCCAGACCACTAAAACTGTCTCTCTATCAGCAATGAGGCTGTTTCACTTATCATTTGTGTGTTCACTGGAGTAGCACTTTAAATTTCCTTCAAGAACTATTCCTTTGCATTCACAACTTGGTTAACTGTTTGGTGCAAGAAGCCTAGCTTTCAGCCTATCTTGGCTGTCAACATGCCTTCCTCACTAAGCTTAATCGATTCTAACTGGGTTGAAGGGAGAGACACACAACTCTTCCTTTCAATTGAACACTTAGAGGTTGGGTTACTAATTGGCCTAATTTCAGTATTGTTGGGTCTCAGGGAAGAGGGAAGCCTGAGGGGAGGGAGGGAAATGGGAACAGCTAGTTGGTAAAACAGTCAAAACACACACATTAATCAATTAAGTACACTGTCTCATAAGGGTGCAGTTTGTGGTGTCCCAAAACAATTACAATAGTAACATTAAAGATCAGTAACAAGAGGTCATGGTAACAGATGTAATAATATTGGAAAAGTATGAAATAGTACAAGAATTACCAAAATGTGACACAGATATTAAGTGAACACATGCTGTTGAAAAAATGGTGCTGATAGCCTTGCTCAAGGCAGAGTTGCCACAAATCTTCAATATGTAAAAAATGCACTATCTGCTAAGTGCAATGAAAGGAAGTATAATAAGATACTCTTGTGTAATAATTGTGGAATTTAAGCTGGATAAAGAAGTAAAAAGGACGTAAAAGGCATAAGGGGCAGTGAGAATGCAGAGAACTTGTCATCTGGTGAAAATGAATGAGAGCTGGCATTCAGGTAACAGAAAGAGTAAGCTATACAGACAGGAAGTGGTGGTCAGAAAGTGGGATATATGGAACTGAGATTATGGAGGAGTTGCAATTGTTGGTGATGCCAAGGTCTAGATATTATGATGCAAGTGAGTGACTAGCATGGAGGACAAAGTCACTGAAGGAGGGGAGGTCAAGGAACCAAGAGGCCAGACCCAGGATCTGATGGCATACTGGCAGCCTTTGTGCCCAGGAGTTACTCCCAGACCACCTTGTTATCAGATCCTGCTGTTGCTGTACCTGTTTGCTGCCTCAGCTGGTGGCACTGGCTTTTGCCTCAGCCTTGGTTTCTAAGTTCCAGTCAGTACCTTGTTGAGTACTCTTGTCCCTTCTAGGACTGGAGACTTGCCCTGAGGTACAGTATGGTTGACTGTGGACCTGCTGTCTTTGGAAAAGATTCCTGGCCAATGCTTATTGTCATCCTCACCTAGGAATTGCTTTTGACTTTCTGTTGCAGTTGCATCACTACAAGGAACCTAGTCACTTTCCTTTTGGAATCAGTAGCTCCAACACAAGGCCATCACCCCTGAAGCTGGTATGACAGTTCCTATAGGCCTCCTGAACCTTCCCTCAAATGGCGGCTGGATGGCCTCCCCCAAGAACCAGTCCTCATGCTGAATCTCTTTACCTTCCCATCTGCTCTCGCTGCTGAGGCCATTATGGTTTGAATTAGGGGGCTGAGTTATGAAAATACTACTGAAGGGGAATCTATAAATGGTCACAGCAAAGTGGCAGGTGCTAGTCACACAATAGTCTTTTTAACCACATTGTGTGATGTAAAGTAATCCTATGTCCAACTCCAAATCCTGCATTCTTAGAGTTTTTTTCTCATAAATATTTGTAAAATAACTTTTTGGTTCATAGATAAAACCTAAGTACTCTTAATTTTTTTCTTTTTTTTGAGACACAGTCTTGCTCTGTCACCCAGGCTGGAGTGCAGTGGTGCCATATCAGCTTACTGGCTCACTGCAACCTCCGCCTCCTGGGTTCAAGCTATTCTTGTGCCTCAGCCTCCTGAATAGTTGGGATTATAGTCACGTGCCACCATGCCTGGCTAATGTTTGTATTTTTTAGTAGAGACCGTTTTCGCCATGTTGTCTAGACTGGTCTTGAACTCCTGACTTCAAGTGATCCACCTGCCTTGGCCTCCCAAAGTGCTGGGATTACAAACATGAGCCACCACGCCTGGCCCTCTGTTAAACTTTCTCACAAGGGAAAATCACATGAGTTATATATAAAGCACATAATATAAAGCAGATATAGCTTTTCAAACTTACTGTGTTTAGAGCTAGAATAATGGCAAATTTTAAAGGAAAAAAGAATGTCAGTGATAAGTTGACAAACCTGGAAATAAGTAAGATGCTTCTTCTACCTGGCATAATAACATAAAGAATCTAGAGCCTGCTGGTAATCGGTTAGAAATGGAGAAGGAGAAAAATATTCAGTTTACAATTGTGACAAAAACAACACAATTCTCAGGAATAAATCTTAAAAGAAAGGTATAGGATCTATATGAAGCAGACTAAATTCTTTCTGAAAAATACAAAATAACATCTACATAAATTGAGAGACATGCCATGTTTTAGATGGGAAGAAGACTTAATGTAAGAAAAACGTCTCTTTTTCCTAAATAAAAAAGGTTAATGTATTTCAATGTCTAGCTACATCCAAAAAGGCTTTCAAAACTTGCGCAAAATTATTTTAGCACCAAGAAGAAGATTATACATTTAAAAGTGACCAATAATTTTTTAAAAGAAGGGTTGAGAGAGCCTTGCTATATCAATTATTGAAACATAATACAAAATGACTGTAATCCAGACAGTGTTAGCACAGGACTAGAAAAATTAGTAAGAAGACTAGAAGAGGAAGCCAAGAAACAAATGGAAATATACTTGAAAACTTCATCAATAAACAGGCAAAGAGTGGCTTATATAATAAATAGTGCTGACTTAATTATCCATCCATCTATAAGAAAAGTTATGCCCTCACCTCATGTACATACACAAATATTTTTCAGATGGATTGAAGATCTCAAATATTATAAACAAGATAATACACTAATTAGATTAAATTTTAGGAAGATATTCTTATTACTTGATACTAAGAATTTCTTTACAAAAACAAGAAATAAAGAAAACCCCAAACCTTAAAATAAGAATAGATAAATTTGACTACATGAAAACATGAAATAAAAGGATACAAGAGATATTACGAAGTCTAAAACCAAATACAGTAGACTGGGAAAAAAATATTTCATAACACAAATAATAAGCAAGTGTTCTTGCCAGGAATGGTGGTATGTGCCTGTGGTCCCAGCTACTCGGGAGGCTGAGGCAAGAGGATCGCTTGAGCCCAGGAGCTTGAGGCTGCAGTGAGTTATGATTGCTCCACTGCACTCCAGCCTGGGTGACAGAGTGAGACCCTGTCTTAAAAAACAAAAATTCAACGAACAACAAAAAACAAGTGTTCCTTTGTTCCTCTTATACAAATTGAGTAAAAAAAAAAAGACAACCCTACTGAGCCATGATAAAGAACTTGAAGAGACATTTCATAGGAAAGGAAATGAGAATTGCCAGTAAACACATGAAGCAATGATCAGTCATGGTTTAAAATTTTAAAATAAAATGAAAACAAAATTTCATGTTTTTGTCATCACTAAGCAAAACTTTAAAAGTGTCTCAGCATTTAGTACTGGTGAGGGTGCAGGAAAAGGGGCAAATATTTATTACTTGTGTATTTGTGGATTATTACTAATAGTTTTAAAAAGTAATTTGATAATTTCTGTTGAAGTTAAATAAGCAGAGACCTTTTGAATCCCCCAAACAATCTCACTTTTAGGATTTTATGAGATATTTTGGGATATTTAGAGAAACAATGCAGCAATTTACAAGTACCTGTGGTGAGGATATTTGTTGCAGCACTGTGTGTACTGGTTAAAACTATAAAAATCTGTATGTCTCTCAATAGAGGAGAGATTGAAAAAAAAATATATCCCTGGTTTATGCATACCAGGGAATGCTATGCAAGTATTCCTAGAGTGAATTAAATCTATAGGTACTGTTTCAGAGGCATATTCAAAATCTATTAAGTGGGAAAAGAATCAGATAATTTACTTATGCTTAAACGTGATGTGTACCATTCTAAGTTGTTGCTGTTGTTTTAATTAATGTCATTTACTTCTCACAGCAATTTTATGGAAAGCTTCTCTTATTACTTCCATTTTACAAAGGCAAAACCAGGCATCAAATAACATGTCTGAGATTGCTGATCCAATAAATTTGAATCCAACCAGTCTGACTTTAGAATCCGTTTGTGTAACCACCATGCTGAAAGTCATATTCCTGATATTTAGTATCAGTCTAATATTCTAAAGACAAACAAACAAATCCAGCCCTACATCTATGTGTCTCTAGGTAGATATGTATTGCTATGCAAGCACTGGGGAAAAGGGTATTAATTTTTATTGTTTCAGTGGGTGGGATAATAAGAGAGAAGATTATTAGTCATTTCTTAATACATGTCTGTAATATTTGACATCTTGCAAGGAGGAACCTATAATTTTTGAAACCCCTAGGAAGAAATAAATTTTTAAATTAAATTAAACAATTGTAAAGAGAAAGAAAAATAAATCTGGAAACATGATGTTGAATCCTGTGTCTAATTATTCCACTTTAAAGATGAAATGTGACTTAGTGTAAACACTATCATGTATTTATTCACTTAAATATTTATTTGAACACTTACCCAGTTTCAGGTGCTGAGAGACAGCAGTGAACAAAATAAACCCTGCCCTCATAGAGTTTACATTCTAGGTAGGCATAGACCATAAACAAATAACTAAACAAACTAAAGCATTTCAGATGAAGACAAGAGTTGACTAAAAAAATAATAATAATAAAGCAAGAGAAAGCATATAGGGAGTGAAGTGTGAGTGGGATGGGTAGGTAAGTTGTTATTTGTTGTGAAATGCCCTGAGAGTGTCTTAGTGAGAAGGTGACACCTGAGAAGAGACCTGAGGGCAGTGACAATAAATTATACATGAATAAGCGTGAGAAGAGGATGACAGCAAAGGGAACAGTAAGTGCACAGGCCCTGAGGTCAGAGTCTGTTCGTTATGTTCCAGGAACAAGGCCAGTTTGGGTGGTGGTGGCTGGGGTGGGGGGTTTCAGGATGTGGGAGGAAGCGATCACGGGAAGACCATCTGGGGAAGGGCTTCGGCTTTTTCTCTGAGTGATATGGGAAGTCGTGGAGCCTTGGAGGAATTGCGAACAATCACATGATACGACTTACTGACCTACTACTCGAAGAATCGATTATTTAGTCGGTCATTTCAAATGTGAGGGTAGTAAAGTATTTGCCATTCATTTCACACAGCACACACAAACAATGCAGTGAGTGTCCCCTGAGAGCATTATTTGAAAAGGGGATGTGGTCTGCAAGAGTTATCAGGGAAGTCTGAGAGGGGAACTATGGGGTGTTCCTGAGAACAGTTTGGAAATCCCATGCTAGGTCCCAGGTGAACAGACACTGCAGACAGAATATGCTGTTTACGTGGTTTATGTGGTTATGTCATTCAGAGAAAGAACCTTGGGAGATTGGTAGGGGAATTTTATTCCAAAAGGAGCATTATCTATATGTTTGATATTGAACACGGGGAGGAAGGTCCACAAGACTTAGCTAAGGCCTGCCCCAACCCCATACTAAAAAAGAAAAAAAAAAAGGCAAAAAACATAACCAGGATTTTATTTTACTTTTTAAAGAAAGATCAAAACAATAGGGGGAAAATGATTATTTAAAATATAACCTATAGGTACTGTGAGCTGAGGCACACTTAACGTATTAGGTTGGGTTTCCCAGAAGCAAATCCCAATACAGAATGTACGTGAAAGTGATTTATTAGGAAGTGTTCCCAAGAAGAATTCACAGAGGGTCAGGGAGTGAGGCTGGGAAGGGAAGGAGCCACACAAGGAAGGACGCAGTATCCAGCAAAACCCAAAGGGAAACTGGCACCATCCCACGGGGGAGCAGTGCAGACACGCAAACACATCTCCACACCGTCCCCATCAGTGGCAGGGCTGCTGTGCCATTTACACCTGTCAGTCACGGGTTAAGTAAGCGGGGAAATGCTGAATACCCGGCATGTACATCACATAGTGGGCTATACTGAAAATCTCTCAGGGAACAGATCCAGGAATAAGGACATCATTTGACTGTCAAAAGGGTCTTTGAAAACTATGAATGGAAAGTAGATCTAACTTTTTCCTTCATGCTGTTCCAAACCATCTGTATTCCACAGGAAAATAAACCTTTACCTCAAATAAAAACTTTGATGTTTGAAAAGTAAAAGCAAGCGGCTTCCCCAGGCAGAAAGGACTGCTTCTAAACTACTTAGAAGAGCTATCCTTTCAAAAGGTAGGGATGGTATATAACATGTTTTCTGATGCCCGATTTCCAAGTGCTGAGCTGTTCATACAGATCTAATTTGCTTCCAATGTGACTGACTGAAGAAAAAGTCACCAACTGGTGGTGGTCAGGGGCCTGTCCTGCTCTCAGACACATTCTGTTTGGCCTGCCTATTGTTTCCAAAAATTGGAATTGCAATGTTTATCTTCATATAAGACATTTTTTGCTCATCAAGAATATATCAAAAAATTACTCTATGTCCACGGTACCCATATCATGAATAAAATAAAAAGCTGATGATCAAAGATAATAAATACCATGGGGGCAGCAAGTATGACAACATCAAATATCACAACAGAGATGAGAATTTCACATCCTATGAATAGTATTCTTTTTTTCCTTTTTTTTAAGAGGCAGAGTCTCACTGTGTCACCCAGGCTGTAATGCAGTGATGTGAATACAGCTCACTGCAACTTCAACCTCCTGGGCTCAAGCCATCCTCCTGCCTTGGCCTCCCGTGTAGCTGGGACCATAGGTGCATACCACCATGCCAGGCTAATTAAAAAATATATTTTTTTGTAGGGGCAGGATCTCACTTTGTTGCCCAGGCAGGTCTCAAACTCCTGGGCTCAAGCGATCCTCCTGCCGATATTACAAGCATGAGCCACTGCACCTGGCTGATAGTATTCTTAACAAAAATAATAAGACAAAGGCCACACACAGGCAATCTGAAGTAGGATGGTAAAGCTGGTTCAAAGAACATTTTGAGGCCAGGTGTGGTGGTTTGCACCTGCAATTCCAGCACTTTGGGAGGCAGAGGCAGGAGGATTGCTTGTTCTTATATCTTCTTGTAAGTTAGTAAGACCCCATCCTTACAAAAAAAAAAAAATTGACAGGTCTGGTGGTGTGTGCCTGTGGCCCCAGCTACTGAAGAGGCTGAGGTGGAAGGATCACTTGAGCCCGGAAACTCAGGCCTGCAGTTAGCCGTGTTCTAGCCACTGTACTCCAGCGTGGGTGACAGAGTGAGACCCTGTCTCAAAGAAAAAAAAAAAAAATTCAGAGCATTTTGAAGAACTGGATGTTTACAGGCATATAGAAATAATAGAAAAATATAACAAGATTGTTAAGTTAGATACAAACCTTTGAGGTTATTTTTCTACTGGGCAGAAATCATTTGCATCTCTACCAGATAAAAATCTGAACAAACAAAAGTACATTCCTCTAGATAATTAAATAACCCTTGGCTAGGACTGGTAAATAATTTCCCAGTTTCATATTATATCTTCTCTTCATCTTAAGTTTGGAGTAATTTTTTAAAATAATTTTTTTAATTTAACTTTTAAATTCAGGGGTACATGTGCAGGTTTGTTACATAGGTAAAGTTTTGTCACTTGGGTTTGTTGTACAGATTATTTTGTCACCCAGGTATTAAACCATTGGTTATTTTTCCTGATCCTCTATCTCCTCCCACCTTCCACCCTAGAAGATTTTGAAAATATCTCTGACTATACCACTAGAGATTATGATTTAATTGGTCTGAGGTAGGGCCCTAGCATAATTATTTTTTAAAGCTGTCCTAAATTCATAAATTTCATAAAAACTACCCCTATCATTTTGAAACTGGCTATGCGGAAACAAACTAGAGTTGAACAGGGATTTACCAATTAATATTTTCTGATGCATATGGTCAAATACCATCTCTAGTTTCTATCTGTGGTAGGGAGCTGGGCTAACTGCGAGCTTGAATATGGAAAACAGGGCTGGGGCTGGGTTTAGTTAGGGGAAGTATAAATATAAGGACTGTTGAAGAGCTTATTGAAAAAACAGAAGTGGTGAAAGAACAGCTAGGAGGACTACAGAAACATAAAAGAAGAGAGGCTGGAATATGAACTGAGGTAAACAGACAAGATGTGAATCTGACATTCTATCGTTCATATGTTCTTATACCTTCTTGTGAGTTTAGAAAAATTCACAGACACAGAATTGATGGGACAAAAGTAAAGAGCACTTACAATATTCATAGATATTGCCAAATTGCTCTCCAAAAAGGTTGCAACAGTTTACATTCTCACCAACTGCATACACAAATGCCTGTTTCTTACATCCTTACCGGAACTATAACAGCAACCATTTTGGTCTTTGCCAATATGAAAAAGAAATAAAAAGGTATCATATAGATATTCTAATTTGCATGTATTGATTTAAGAGTTAGAGCGTTAGATTGAACACATCTCAAGTGTTTATTGTATTTCTTTTTCTGGTGGCTCCTTTTTTATTTTCTACAGCTTATTTTTTTCCTTCTTAGTGATTTTTAGAAGCTCTTGATTTATTAAGGAAATTAGCCTTATGCTACGTAGCCAAGGGCTGCTTAGGGAAACTTTAAGAAGCTTCTAGGTGCTTCTTTGTGAAGACAATTAGCCACTTTTAAACAAGAGAAAAGTCGAATGGCCCTTAAATTCTGAATAGCAGCCAAATTTTCTTGAAAAGGGGATTTTTAAAAAAGGAGCCAATCAGGCAAGCACCACTCCAAAGGAAGGATGTGACAGTGTTTCTGTGGTTTAACCTGAGTGCCCCAAGTCAGACATTTCTGCACCAAAAATTATTGAGTCAGGCAAAGTTGCAGAGGCACCAGGACAGCTCCTGGGAAAATAATATTGTCTCCTACTCAATTTTTTCCCTTTTGGGTTTTGCTACTTTTCATACTTCACTTGTGGATTAAGATAATCGTGGAAGGAGCAAGAAACAGTAAGAGTTCTACAGAGGAACTCACCATGAGGACATCAGGAGTAGAACCTGGAATCAGTATCAAGTTTCAACTCCCATGCGTTGGGGGAAAGTGAGAGGGTTGGGGGAAAGTGAGAGGGTTGGTTTTAACACAATGTACAGCTGTAAACAAAAGGCCCCCCTGAGCCAGACAGGGTGGAGGGTATGGATTGGGAGTGAGCTGGTGGCAAACTGAGGAGCCATTCCTTGCTTGGGCTCCGAAAGTGACAGCTACCATAGCACTGTGTGGATTGGGGTCAACCTTCCTCTGCTGCTTCAGCCCTCCTCAAGTTGTGGACCTATGAGGACATGATTGCAGCAGCAGACACAGATGTAACAGATTACACAGGGCCGGTGTTCAACAAGGACATCATGTGGCAGTGGCGGAAATGAATGAGGTGGGAAGGAAGCCTGCTGTGAAGCCTACATTCACCAGTTCTCTCTTTGCCTGGAGTTTGGAAGCAGACACCTCTGGGTTCTTGCACCATTTGGAAGTGGGAAAGAAAGAGGTGTTAGGCATCCTGGAAATTTGGCCAGGGGAATATTTTGAATAATTTGAACCTCAAACTGAAGAGGCAGGTCCCATCCATTGCAACATATGAGTGGCAAATATTAGTTTTGTATCCCATTTGGATTTTCAGATTTTTTTACATGTTAGCACTATTGTATGTCATACAGAGTTTTAAAATATTTACTGATCAATTACTTCCTCTGTGGCTCCTATGTTTTGTAACAAGAGAGATCTTCTGCACTCCAAGGTATTATCTATATAAGATATAGATATATATATTGCAAGAGAAAAATTGCAAAGGACTTTGAAATGGGCAAAACAGATTATTAGGTGACCTTTCAGTGGAATACCACGTGGTCCTTCAAGGTTATCGGTAAGGATACCTAAGATATAATGGATAACTATTAGTTACTGAGGTAAATTAACTACAACTTTTGGTCTTATTATCAAATAGGTTTCTGCTTCCTGAAACTAACCTTAGTCTCTGCTATTAACTACAAGCCAAAATTTGGTTCTTCAGCAAAGAAAGAGCCTCAGAGTCTCATGGAAGAAGATTGCACCAAGTACTTTAAACTATCGAAGTCTATTCAAAGAATAGACTCTTGGGTACAAACCCTGAGCTGATGGTATTTAGACAATTTTCAGTCTGTACCTGTGTAATGAGTATGAATTTACAGGAGTCTTTTCAATGCAGAAGCACATAGCTTTCTGAATGCAGAAATGCCAATCCAAAATTCAGCAAAACACAATTACAAAGGACAGAATGAGCTGATGAGGAAAATTTTCACTGTGGTTGTATTGATGTTGTTTTAAGGCTGTATTTGCTGGATATATAAGGAAGACATTTCTCTTTCTTCTTAGGCTATCTTCAGTCTACAACAATTCAGTAGACTCTGCTTTTGTAAAATAAAACTAAACATTTTCTTCCTGCTTTTCACTGAACTCTCCCCCACCCCGAGTTTAAACACTGTGACTGAGTTACCTTTTTGACAGCAATGTAGTTATTTGCATAGGTTCAACAAGAGTCTTTTTCTTTCCCGGTGCATAACTGGACAAAATTGAATGTCACCATGGCCTTACTTGGAAGATCATATGTGAGGATGATGGTCATTTAACAGGTATGTCAAACAACTCCAAGGAACAAAGGTTAATTTTATTTCTGTAGCCAATGCCTACAAAACCCTGGCTTAGTACCAACCTTCTAGGGTTGTAACCTAGAGCCTAGTACCTAAACTGGTCTATAGGATCCTATTATGATGGGTGGTGACAAAGAGCACTTCCTGGCAGGCCATGAACCTTAGTAAATTTAAGCGACCTCAAGTAGAAAGGAATTCATCCAAATCTATAGATGGTATAGGTGAATACGGTGGAGTCTCTCGGGCTTGCTTTCCTAGCCCTGAGCTAGCAAATGATGGAGACTTTTTCCCCCTCAACCCATAGAGACTTTTAAAAGTGCAGTTCTGTGGCTCCAGTAGCTGTTCAATAGTACATAGCTCTAGAATTGCAAACCAAATTCAAGGAAGCTTATGTGGTTAATTAACACCCTTGCCGCACCCATGCAAATAATCAGGCCAAGGCTAATGGGACCATTCTTTTTATGACCAAGAATAATCTTTGAGATTTTTATAGTCACAAAGGGGAAGTTGTTACGGAAACTGGAAAGACTTTAAAAGAAGCAAAAAAGATTACTGGGTGGGTGTACTTTCAACGAAATATTATATGCTGCTTCTGGGTTATCTGATTCTATAAGAGTTTTGCCTCGCACCCCCTTTTTTTGTTTTTTGAGCTACTTTATAACCCTCTAAATTGTAGAAAACTGAGAGATGGAAATGATTATTGTCCAGACATACAAAATAATTCTGTCTGATTAAGATGCAATTAATTAGATGACGAGTTAGTGGGTGCAGCGCACCAGCATGTCACATGTATACATATGTAACTAACCTGCACATTGTGCACATGTACCCTAAAACTTAAAGTACATTAAAAAAAAAGATGCAATTAATTTCCCCCTGTGGACAGGCCAGTTTTGCATCTATTAGCAAATTCATTTTAGAATTCCTGATTGCTGATATATGTATCTGTTCTTTGAGTTCTCCTTTGGACCAATTTTTAAACATATTACTTGTTCCTTAATTAATAAGCTAACTAAATTTTTTGACACATACTTTATTTAAGTCATGGTTTCATGCTTATAAAAATAGATATATTTACACATGTGTTATTTAAAGTCTTTAATATATCTAAGTTCTCTTTAGACATAAGGGGTAATATAGAAATCTGGTTTCATTTTCTTCAAAAACTATGTATTTTTTCCTATCATTTATTAAGTAACCTTTATTTTTCCCCATTGATTTGAAAGGCCACCTTTCTGGTATTTTTTGGATCATTTATGCATTCACTATTATGATCTATTTATTTATTTGTACCCAGTTCAATTCTAAGTGCTATGGCTTTATATAATTTGGGTAATTTGTCAGGTTATTTTGGTGGTGTACTGACTCTCCCAATGAGCAGATTATTCTACCAACTTGGATTAGCCTAACATGTAAACTAATAAAAGATTTTTAAAAATTGATATTCAAAAATTGGCCTAGTTATTTGGGCCTCATCCACCCTTTCCAAACTAGGTAGAACACAATTATAAATCTAGAAAGTAAGAAAACAGGACATCTGAGTTGCAAAGTTATCATTAAGCCCCGTGATGGTTAATATTAGGTGTCAACTTGATTGGACTGAAGGATGCCTAGATAGCTGGTAAAGTATTGTTTCTGGGTGCATCTGCAAGGGGGTTGCCAGAGGAGATTGACATTTGAGTCAGTGGACTGGGAGAGGAAGACCCATCCTCAATGGGGGTGGGCACCATCCAATAAGCTGCCAGCATGGCTAGAACAAAGCAGGTGGAAGAAGACGGGCTAAGCTGGCTTGCTGAGTCTTCTGGTGTTCATCTTTCTCCCATGCTGGGTGCTTCCTTCTATTCCTCCTGCCTTTGGACATCAGACTCTAGGTTCTTTGGCTTTTGGACTCTGGGACTTACACCAGGGGTTTGTTGGGGGCTCTCTGGCCTTTGGCCACAGACTGAAGGCTGCACTGTCAGCTTACCTACTTTTGAGGCTTTTGGACTCGGACTGAGCCACTACTGGCTTCTTTCTTCCCCAGTTTGCAGACGGCCTATTGTGAGACTTCGCCTTGTGATCATGTGAGCCAACTCTCCCTAATAAACTCTCTTTCATATATACATATATCCTATTAATTCTGTCCCTCTGGAGAGCCCTAATACAAGCCCATAGTTAATTCCATGGGAAAGGCAGAGAATAGCTCTTCCCTGACAATTCTGTGTAAAAAAGGACGGAATGGAACAGTATTAGCAAATACTCATGGAGGGAGAGTAGAAGGAAGAAGCCAGAACTATCAAAGGCACTGCAGGACTGGCCCTTTCAATTTGGAACAAAATCTGCTCAGATTCTCAATAGTCTTTTAACTTTTACCACTGCTTGAGTTTAAAAGTGCTAATTACTCACTCACACCCTTTGCCCTTGGGGTTTTGATCAATTAAGAAGTAGGCATAGGAAGCATGTAAGGATAAAAATATCAGCTTTATTCCTAACGAAGTTATATTGGAGAACATGACTTGGACTCCCGTACCCCAGGTTTCTACTTTGAGTTTTGCGTGTGTGCCACCGAGGCCCTACAGAATGCACTGCTGTCACCTGGGTAGGCCAGAAGAGTTCATCAAGGGGGTCTTCATTCCCAGCCACACCGTAAAAGACCCAGGCTATTCCTGTGCTAGCCCTGTCCACAAGAAGAACTTGGATATCAGACTTTGGCCATCTTGCTGGTCTGGTAAAGCCTTTCTAAGATGCTGGAGAGGAGTTGGTGATGGATAAAAAGACAAGGCTGCACTAGCTTTGACCCAATAGTTACTGAGAAATGAAGTGTTGATAGAATTTCTTCTTTTATAGGTGGCAGCAATGTGGGTAGAGGAAGACTCAACTCCTTCCTACAACACAGGGCAGAAATTAATACTTATAAAGGTAAACTTGACTTAAAAAAGAAAATATTATGGTGAATCTACTCTGATTATGAAGAATGGAGAAATGTGGTATATGTTTCAGACCAGATAGATTTCTATCAGAAGTATTTTTAAAAATATTTACGTTAGGGTGCTTAAATATATAACCTTCTATGATCTAGAACACTGACAAATATGTATAACCCTTCTCCAGCAATCCTGAATAGTGTATATAGTACACAACTGCCCCATTTTAGTATTGCATTGCAAAAGAACAAACACAACATTTTTAAATACTTTTAGTTCACATTTTTTAATGTTTAAAAACTATGTTAACAGAGCAGTTATAGAACAGAACTTCTTATATTTCTTTATTTACACCACACTCTGAAAAAAAAAACCCAGTTCTATTTGATTAACTATGAATAGCAAAGTTTTGTGACTTGTGACTCACTTAAATCACCCATCTGAAATTCATTTACAAGGTTTTTACATTAATAAAACAGTAGTGTGGTACATGTATTGGACTCAGATGAAGTCTAAAGTACACTGGACTCTAGAGAGTGGATTACATACCAACGACCAAGATTCAAGTGTTTGGGGAAAAAAATACCTTAGACAGTCTATGTTGGCGTCAACACTAAAATAAAAGGCAAACATGCAGGACTTTCAAAGCTTGATTAGATAATGGTTCTTTGTTTTCTTTCCTTCAAATTTGTGCTCATAATTAATATTCAGGTTCCCTCTCCCCGCTTTCATAGATCCCAAAGTTTGAGAAATGCAGCAATTCAATTGTGAAAAAAACATTCTTCTCCCCAGCTTCTGTTTTCATATGTACTGTGTAGTGGTATCAGTGTTAAAAATGGAAGATCATTATGAAGAAACAATTTGTCATTTGGGTATATCTGTTTCTATAGGACAAGGATTTGTGTCTAAATATTCCTTACTTGTATCTCAGAGGACTATCTGTTAAATAATTGATCTTAATGCCAGCATAAGAAATCAAGGGAACTATTTCTCAGACATTTCTTTCTCTAAATTAAGTAGGGTTTCAGGTTCCAAGTTTACATTGAGAGAACTATGTTACCTGGGAGAGAATGTAAATTTTTCTAATTCCCAAACAAAACCACTAATTTCTAGGAAACATTTATTGTTTATATGCAGATCCTAGAGACTTCTATTTCAGTGCAGATCAACAACTTCAAAAATATACAGCCTCCTATTTATTTACAATAATATTTACATACAAATGAAGTATTTCCTGCAATAAGCCTCAGCTGCATAGATTCTTCCTTTAAAAACGTAAATTTGAGCCTGTATACAGATGGGCCCAGTTTCATAGCCCTTCCTTAGATAAAAGCCTAAAGAAGGAAAATGTCTGCACCTTGTGAACTTTACATATTTTGCAAGAACTTTCTCTTTGAGATTTAGTGATAGTTTTTAGTTGTTAGACACCCCACCTTCAGCTTGTACCTGAAAGCTTTATCTCGTTATAAATAATTCACTGTAATTTAGGGGAAGTATGTCCTGTTGCTAAAGGATTCTCAAACCTGCCATCCCCAAGGAAAATCATGTATTAGTATTGCTAAATGATGGTCTGTATATTCTTTGTTTTGAAGGTGGCTAGATGTTTGCTGTAAACTTGAATGGGAGAATTATATTCTTAAAGTTTACACCCCCTATAAGCCTAAAGCCATTTAAATTGATAAACTGAGAGAGACTAATAGATTTTGCTCTAAGGTATAAAATCCATTATCTGATCATATTCCTGACCTCCCCCCGACTCCAACTAAATGTGCCATAGTCCAACACTGTGCCTCACTGAATTGGAACTCAGTATTTCATTCTTTTGAGAGCAGTTTGTAGCTCCTTAAGCAGAGCAGACCTTTCAGTAGAGAATTCGCTTTAAAAGGAGGACAGGATTATCACCACACGATTAACACAAACACTGGAGAACTTCTGACACAAATTCAGTATTTCTTCTAAGTCTGCATTTACAAAGGGTCTTTTATTTTAATTTCTTTCACAACTGCCTCGCCCCAACCAAAGCCTCACTTTCATTTCCTCACAGCTTTAAAAAATAAAATATTATCATGCCTCAGCCCGAGGTAACACCGAGTGCAGGCAGCCTGTGTTTAGGAATTTGCACCTGCGCTGCTATTTTCAACGAGAAGGGGATAACCAGGTGGCAGCGCTGGATTCACTCACTTTCTTGCCATTGCAGAGACCCCTGCCGCCAGGCTCCTTTCCTCCCCTCCCTAAAGCCTGGCTCCTGTATGTTGCACCATGAGTCCTAGGAATCATCTGGTGAGGGAGGACTAATGGGAAGTAAAAGGGAGACTCATTGGCTTAGGGTGGTTCTCAAACTTGATGCGCTTTAGAATCATTTGCTGAGTCCCTCCCTGAGAGCTTCTGACTTCACCATGTCTGGGAGGGGGCTGAGAATCTGCATTCTAATGAGGTCCCCGATGATGCTGATGCTACTGGTCTAGGGGCCACACTTTGAGAACCACTGGCTTAGAGGCATGAATCAAGCTCTAGAAAGCAGTCAGTTCCAGGGTAATAGTCTTAGGTGCTCGCCGAAGCACTGAGGAATCTTACCACAACCCTGTGTCCACCACAAGCCCTATCACCATCACCCATCTGGGTGCTTCTTTTTCTCAACAGGGTCTGTAACTGTAAAAAAGGAAAGTGGGTGGAGAGGTTTTTTTTTCCCCCTTTTTTCTTGTTTTCTAACCTCCCAGCTTATTCCTGGAGAGTTAAAACACAGTTACTAGCACTAAAAACATTAAAAGTGCTGCGCGCTGGCCTCAATGACTGGTACATTGGAGAAGCTATGCAGCAGCATCCTTTTCTGTGGTGGGCAGGGCAGGAGATGAACCATAGGAGCCAAAAGTCAGACAAACAGAAGAAGGCACACCAAGCCTGAACCCTCCGGACAACAGCAGAGTTACCAGCTGAGGGATGTCCCTGGAGGTTTCTGACCCATGAGAGGCCCCCTCACCCTCCTTCACCCTCCTCCTACCACCAAGCTCTCCAGCAGTCATGGACTTATTCCTCCCCGTTTTTACTGGACACCATGTTTCAGGCCAATCTGGTCACCTGTAGTCTGGTGGCATCTCTACCCCTACTGTCCAGTAGGTGGGATGTGGCTGGGATGGACAGTCCAGATTCTACTAACAGGCAACTCTGAACAAACACCCTCCCTGGAAACAATATTATATTTGATGGTTAGATTCTTTAGCAAACCTATTACATTATTCGATGTCAGCTAACCTATTGGTTTGATCATCTTTTCCAGCTGCTCTAGGGGCCTAACCACCATGGATAACCTGGTCTCTAAAGGAAAATACATTCCAGGTTGCAAACAACCAACTGACAACCTTTTGGAATATGATCTCCTTATACACTGGGGCTGCCTGTGCCTAAACACAGTAGATTTCCCTCCTGTGCGTATTTCATCAGCCCCACTTCCAATAAGTAACATTAAGTAAATTAGGGATTGACAGTATTCTGTGTTACAATAACTAGAGAACAGTTCTAAGTCCAAAGTGTGGAACTGGCACTGTTCACTAGTATAGAGATCCTACCTACCAAAGGAAAACGTGCTGCTCCCCATGCCTAGGGTATAGTATTCTTTAATCTACTAATTTAGCAGAAAAACTTCCATAGCACTTGACTGTGCTGTTTAAATTCGACCTAACATCTGTGATACATGTATTTTTGGCTACCAATTAACTATTCTGAATAAGAATAAGAGCAGTATACTTTACAGCTAATCTCACACAAAGGATGTAACTAATCAGTGATATTTGACGAATTATGGTAGGGTCTATTATATTCAGTCAACAACAAATTTAGAGAAACATACAAAGGTTTTTAAAAATATGGGTGGTGTCACACAGATCAACAACACTGTGCCTCCTCTAAATAAATCTATTTTAAATAAATATTCCTTGTATTGACACATGAAACCCAGAGGCCCAAAAATATCACTACACATCCCAGTTAATGATAAGGTTCTAAATTGACTTTGTGAGGGTAAAATGAATTGCTATAAAGTAACAAGGAAAATAGAAAGTAGCATAATATAGCTTGCAAACTAAATTATGTATTTTTAAAGGTACAGTCATCCCACTACCTGGCTATTTCATTACTTGGTGCTCTAGACAAGCTCCCAAGAACTGACTGGATCTTGGCTTGTTCTGTTTCTGTCATTGCTAATATAATATGGAAAACATTGCTGAAAAGAACAGAGATGGCCATGGATATGGCTAGGTTAGGTATTCATATCCAAATATCTGAACTCTAACCTAATGTGGATATGATTCTGTAGCATTATATTAAAAGCTATGATGATGCAATGCAGGAAATAACCTTTCATTCTCCCCCCTAGAGGATCACGACAGGTGCTTCAATGCCTGCCTTATCTATGGGACAGTAGTGTGATTCTCAGTGAGAGTGAAGGCCTTTGGGGATTTGAGTCAGGAAGGGAACATGGCTAAGTGCCTGGAAACTCTGCCAACAGTCTGCGGTTAGATTCTACTTGTCTCTGGATAAGAAATCTGTGCTCAGTGAACTTATGTGTTTGGAAAATTTAACCAGAATATAGAGGAAGCATAAGTCCTGTTTCAAGAGACCAGCTCACGGAGCATGCACATTTCTCACCATAGGCAAGCTATGGACAATTCAATCACATGGGATGGCCCCACTTAGGGGAATGCAGTTCTGGGTTTCCTTGCTATCCCTATTCTTTTTCAGCTACAAACTCTCTTCTTTTTCAGTCTCTTCAGTTTCCTTGTGCTCCCTTTAGGAGAGGGACAAGGGTAAGAGTACCAGGCAACTCTGTCCTCCTGCATGGACAGTTGAGACGGGCAGTAATGGCACAGTCCTTGGTTGGGGAAGAGAAGAGGAGACAGCACAGACACTGAGACCCCCTTGTCTTCCTCATCTGGGGGAAGGAAGGTACTCAGTGATTCTGTCAGAAGCTCTTCACAAAGACTATCTCTGAGGGTTTTTTTTTTTTTTTTTTCACAAGACTAGATGGAGAATTAATGAAGAAGAAATAGAAATGAGGCTTATTTAAGGTACAAAATTCTTGTATTTGTAATAACCTAGATTTATAGATATAAAACAAGTCTTTTAAAGACTTCCCTAAAATACTCAATATAAAACAGGAGTTACTTATCCTAGATCATCCTTAGTTAGGTACACATGATTCTCTGTGCAACTAGCTGGTGGACATGAATAAAAGCTGCTGGGCCTATAATGTACTAAAACATTTTTCTCCCTTCAGCAAGACAGGTAGGGTTGAAGGCTAAATGCATCAGAGGAGTATTTTCTTAGGCATTTTGGACAATCTTTTTGCAGTAGGTTCCATAGGTTTTCCCCAGCGAAAGTTGACTCAGACCAGAGTAACTCTGACACAAGTTGCCAAGAGGGAAAAAATACTTCATTTGCTAGATTACCCAAATGTGTAGCTTCATTTAATTACCAAGGTAAGAATCATCCCCAACCACTTTTCAGCTGAGAACACTTGCCAGAGAATGTCTCTGGATGGGAATAGATGTGGTACCAGCTAGGCCACTGGACTACCCGAGTTCAGCTGCCAGGAAATCAGAGCCACCTCAAATATTGGGCATGCTCTGATTCAGCAGTGGCAGTGCCCTATAACTTTCAGATGATTATCTCCATGTGCTATGTTAACCAAAATAGGCAAATTATTTACGAAACCATTTTTTTCTGTAAAGCAAAATAAATATATACAATTCAAGATTCTTTTCTCTTCTAAAAAGGTACAGATAGTGTGAGCTGAACATCAGTAGGAAAATTATTTCAGAATCTGGATGTATAATAAATAAACATTATTGTATATCATGTTTTCAAAGTTCTAAGAGACCGGGAAGCCACAAAACATAGAGTTAGATGGGTAAAAAATGATTGTGAAAAGTACTGGGAAATATGATTGTATGAAATTTGAAAAAAAAATTTCACAATCCCTAAATTGATCTCAAATCTTGGAGGGACATGAAGCATTATAGAACCATGTCTCTGTTTTGCAACCAAAAAGTTATTCCATTTTAAGTATCCTGTACATTTCTGTTTGCTTCTGTAAACTTGCAAAAGAAGTGGTGAGAGATTGCTGATGTGTGGGGACTTGACTGAGCAGACAACAGGGATGTTTCTTTTTCTCGGCGGGTTTCAGTGGCCTTCGTCACTACTCGATGAGCAGGCCCAGTCATAGATGACCAAGGGAATGCTGACCAAGGAGAACAACACCCCCAGGCCCAAGAAAAGGGCAGCCTGGAGCAAGAGAAAGGCAAGGGTTATTTTCAGTGCAGCAAAATTTTTCCACATGTACCTGGGGAAAAAAAATAGAACAGTTTTTCCTCTCCCTTTGTGTCCTCTGGTATTCAGAGTTTGTCACAACCATGGCTGAACTGTGAGAATCTTTCTAAAATTTTATGAATCTGATTCTGCAAGGATGGGAAAATAGGAAAAAAAAAAAACTAGCTAAGCAGAGTAGTCCTCTATGTCCCATTCTTTGACTTCATGGTCACCTCAAGTGTATGTATCCATTCTACAAATAACTGGGTATCCTTATGGCTTCTCTCAAACTAAGATTACAACCAAGGGGGAATAAAGGCCTTAGAAAATATCCAGGTCATTTTGTTATTCATTACCTACCAACTTAGCTTATCACTGGCAAGCAAACATTTCTGTTTGAAAAAGTGGAAAAAAAACATACAAAAGCAAAATAGATTTGATTAAGTGAAATAGGAAACAGGTGTCAAAAACTAAGTTACCTGAAGGGCTGATGAAGGCCATAGGTGGACAGATGATGATATGGTTTGGCTGTGTCCCTACCCAAATCTCATCTTGAATTTTAGCTCCCATAATTCCCACGTGTCATGGGAGTTACCTGGTAGGAGGTAATTGAATCCTGGGGGCGGGTCTTTCCCATGCTGTGCTTGTGATAGTGAATAAATCTCATGAGATCTGGTGGTTTTATAAAGGGGAGTTACCCTGCACATGCGCTCTGCCTGCCACCATGTAAGACGTGACTTTGCTCCTTGTTTGCCCTCCGCTATGATTGTGAGGCCTCCCCAGTCATGTGGAATTGTGAGTCAATTAAACCTCTTTCCTTTATAAATTACCCTGTCTCAGGTATTTTTTTTTATTATTATACTTTAAGTTCTAGGGTACATGTGCACAATGTGTAGGTTTGTTACATAGGTATACATGTGCCATGTTGGTTTGCTGCACCCATCAACTTGTAATTTATATTAGGTATTTCTCGTAATGCTATCCCTCCCCGGGCCCCCCACCCCACGACAGGCCCTGGTGTGTGATATTCTCTGTCCTGTGTCCATGTGTTCTCATTGTTCAACTCCCACCTATGAGTGAAAACATGCAGTGTTTGGTTTTTTGTCCTTGTGATAGTTTGCTTAAAATGATGGTTTCTAGCTTCATCCATGTCCCTGCAAAGGACATGAACTGATCCTTCTTTTATGGCTGCATACGATTCCATGGTGTACATGTGCCACATTTTCTTAATCCAGTCTATCATTGATGGACATTTGGGGTTCCAAGTCTTCACTATTGTGAATAGTGCCACAATAAACATACATGTGCATGTGTCTTTATAGTAGCATGATTTATAATCCTTTGGGTATATACCCAGTAATGGGATTGCTGGGTCAAATGGTATTTCTAGTTCTGGATCCTTGAGGAATCGCCACACTGTCTTCCACAATGGTTGAACTAATTTACACTCCCACCAACAGTGTAAAAGTGTTCCTATTTCTCCACATCCTCTCCAGCGTCTGTTGTCTTCTGACTTTTTAATGATCGCCATTTTAACTGGTGTGAGATGGTATCTCATTGTGGTTTTGATTTGCATTTCTCTGATGACCAGTGATGATGAGCATTTTTTCATGTGTCTGTTGACTGCATAAATGTCTTCTTTTGAGAAGTGTCTGTTCATATCCTTTGCCCACTTTTTGATGGGGTTGCTTTTTTCTTGTAAATTTGTTTGAGTTCTTAGTAGATTCTGGATATTAGCCCTTTGTCAGATGGGTAGACTGCAAAGATTTTCTCCCATTCTGTAGGTTGCCTATTCACTCTGATGGTAGTTTCTTTTGCTGTGCAGAAGCTCTTTAGTTGAATTAGATCCCATTTGTCTATTTTGGCTTTTGTTGCCATTGCTTTTTGTGTTTTAATCATGAAGTCTTTGCCCATATCTATGTCCTGAATGGTATTGCCTAGGTTTTCTTCTAGGGTTGTTATGGTGTTAGGTCTTACCTTTAAGTCTTTAACCCATCTTGAGTTAATTTTTGTATATGGTGTAAGGAAGGGATTCAGTTTCAGCTTTCTACATATGGCTAGCCAGTTTTCTCAGCACCATTTATTAAATAGGGAATCCTTTCCCCATTTCTTGTTTTTGTCAGGTTTGTCAAAGATCAGATGGTTGTAGATGTGTGGTGTTAATTCTGAGGCCTCTGTTCTGTTCCATTGGTCCATATTATCTGTTTTGGTACCAGTACCATGCTGTTTTCGTTACTGTAGCCTTGTAGTACAGTTTGAAGTCAGGTAGCATGATGCCTCCAGCTTGTTCTTTTTGCATAGGATTGTCTTGACTATGTGAGCTCTTTTTTGGTTCCATATGAATTTTAAAGTAGTTTTTTCCAATTATGTGAAGAAAGTCAGTGGTAGATTGATGGGGATAGCATTGAATCTATAAATTACCTTGGGCAGTATGGCCATTTTCATGATATTAATTCTTCCTATCCATGAGCGTGGAATGTTCTTCCATTTGTTTCTGTCCTCTTTTATTTCGTTGAGCAGTGGTTTGTAGTTCTCCTTGAAGAGGTCCTTCACATCCCTTGTAAGTCGGCTTCCTAGGTATTTTATTCTCTTCAGAGTAAATGTGAATGGGATTTCACTCATGATCGGCTGTTTGTCTATTATTGGTGTATAGGAATGGTTGTGATTTTTGCACATTGATTTTGTATCCTGAGACTTTGCTGAAGTTCCTTATCAGCTTAAGGAGATTTTGGGCTGAGACAATGGGGTTTTCTAAATATACAATCAGGGATCATCTGCAAACAGAGACAATTTGACTTCCTCCTCTCCTAATTGAATACCATTTTCATTCTTTCTTGTGCCTGATTGCCCTAGCCAGAACTTCCAACACTATGTTGAATAGGAGTGGTGAAAGAGGGCATCCTTGTCTTGTGCCAGTTTTCAAAGGGAATGCTTTCAGTTTTTGCCCATTCAGTATGATATTGGCTGTGGGTTTGTCATAAATAGCTCTTTATTATTTTGAGATATGTTCCATCAATACCTAGTTTATTGAGAGTTTTTAGCATGAAGCACTGTTGAATTTTGTCAAAGGCCTTTTCTGCATCTATTGAGATAATCATGTGGTTTTTGTCATTGGTTCTGTTTATGTGATGGATTACATTTATTGATTTGCATATGTTGAAGCAGCCTTGCATCCCAGGGATGAAGCTGACTTGATCATAGTGGATAAGCTTTTTGATGTGCTGCTGGATTTGGTTTGCCAGTATTTTACTGAGGATTTTCAAATCAATGTTCCTCAGGGATATTGGCCTAAAATTCTCTTTTTTTGTTGTGTCTCCACCAGGCTTTGATAACAGGATGAGCTAGCCTCATAAAATGAGTTAGGGAGGATTCCCTCTTTTCTACTGATTGAAATAGTTTCAGGAGGAATGGTACCAGCTCCTCTTTGTACCTCTGGTAGAATTTGGCTCTGATTCCTTCTGGTCCTGGACTTTTTTTTGGTTGGTAGGCTATTATTTATTGCCTCAATTTCAGAACCTGATATTGATCTATTCAGAGATTCAGCTTCTTCCTGGTTTAGTCTTGGGAGGGTTTATGTGCCCAGGAATTTATACATTTCTTCTAGATTTTCTAGTTTATTTGTGTAGAGGTGTTTATAGTATTCTCTGATGGTAGTTTGTATTTCTGTGGGATCGGTGGTGATATCCCCTTTATCATTTTTTATTGCATCTATTTGATTCTTCTCTCTTTTCTTCTTTGTTAGTCTTGCTAGTGGTCTATCAATTTTGTTGATCCTTTCAAAAAACCAGCTCCTGGATTCATTGATTTTTTGAAGGGTTTTTGTATCTCTATCTCCTTCAATTCTGCTCCGATCTTAGTTATTTCTTACCTTCTGCTAGCTTTTGAATTTGTTTGCTTTCGCTTCTCTAGTTCTTTTAATTGTGATGTAGGGGTGTCGATTTTAGATCTTCCTTGCTTTCTCTTGAAGGCATTTAGTGCTATAAATTTCCCTGTACACACTGCTTTAAATGTGTCCCAGAGATTCTGGTACATTGCGTCTTGGTTCTCATTGGTTTCAAAGAACATCTTTATTTGTGCCTTCATTTTGTTATTTACCCAGTAGTCATTCAGGAGCAGGTTTTTCAGTTTCCATGTAGTTGTGTGGTTTTGAGTGAGTTTCATAATCCTGAGTTCTAATTTGATTGCACTGTGTCTAAGAGACAGTTTGCTGTGATTTCTGTTCTTTTACATTTGCGGAGGAGTGTTTTACTACCAATTATGTGGCCAATTTTAGAATAAGTGCAATGTGGTGCTGAGAAGAATGCATATTGTCTTGATTTGTGGTGAAGAGTTCTGTAGATGTCTATGAGGTCCGCTTGGTGCAGAGCTGAGTTCAAGTCCTGGATATCCTTGATAACCTTCTGTCTCGTTGATCTGTCTAATATTGACAGTGGGGTGTTAAAATCTCCCATTATTATTGTGTGGGAGTCTAAGTCTCTTCGTAGGTCTCTAAGGACTTGCTTTATGGATCTGGGTGCTCCTGTATTGGGTGCATATATATTTAGAATAGTTAGGTCTTCTTGGTGAATTGATCCCTTTACCACTATGTAGTGGCCCTCTTTATCTCTTTTGATCTTTGTTGGTTTAAAGTCTGGTTTATCAGAGACTAGGATGGCAAGTCCTGCTTTTTTTTTTGCTTTCCATTTGCTTGGTAGATCTTCCTCCATCCTTTTATTTTGAGCCTATGTGCATCTTTGCAAATGAGATGGGTCTCCTCAATACAGCACACTGATGGTTCTCAACTGTTTATCAAATTTGCCTTTCTCTGTCTTTTAATTGGGGCATTTAGCCCATTTACATTTGAGGTTAATATTGTTATGTTTGAATTTGATCCTGTCATTATGATGTTAGCTGGTTATTTTGCTCGTTAATTGATGCAGTTTTTTCATAGAGTCACTGGTCTTTACCATTTGGCATGTTTTTGCAGTGGCTGGTACTGGTTGGTCCTTTCCATGTTTAGTGCTTCCTTCAGGAGCTTTTGTAAGGCGAGCCTGGTGGTGACAAAATCTCTCAGCATTTGCTTGTCTGTAAAGGATTTTATTTCTCCTTCACTTATGAAGCTTAGTTTGGCTGGATAGGAGATTCCGGGTTGAAAATTCTTTTCTTTCATAATGTTGAATATTGGCCCCCACTCCCTTCTGGCTTGTAGGGTTTCTGCAGAGAGATCGGCTGTTAGTCTGACAGGCTTCCTTTTGTAGGTAACCCAACCTCTCTTTCTGGCTGCCCTTAACATTGTTTCCTCCATTTCAACCTTGGTGAATCTGACAATTATGTGTCTTGGGGTTGCTCTTCTTGGAGTATCTTTGTGGTGTTCTCTGTATTTCCTGAATTTGAATGTTGGGCTGCCTTGCTAGATTGGGGAAGTTCTCCTCGATAGTATCCTGAAGAGTGTTTTCTAACTTGGATCCATTCTCCCCCTCACTTTCAGGAACACCAGTCAAACGTATATTTGGTCTTTTCACATAGTCCCATATTTCTTGGAGGCTTTGTTCATTTCTTTTCACTCTTTTTTCTGTATTCTTCTCACTTTATTTCATTAATTTGATCTTCAATCACTGATATCCTTTCTTCCACTTGATCGAATCGGCTATTGAAGCTTGTGCATGAGTCTCGAAGTTCTTGTGCTGTGGGTTTCAGCTTCATCAGGTCATTTGAGGTCTTCTCTACACTGGTTATTCTAGTTAGCCATTCATCTAACCTTTTTTTTTTCCACAGTTTTTAGCCTCTTTGCGATGGGTTAGAAGATGCTCCTTTAGCTCAGAGAAGTTTGTTATTACCAACCTTCTGAAGCCTACTTCTGTCAACTTGTCAAACTCATTCTCCGTCTAGTTTTGTTCCCTTGCTGGCAAGGAGCTGCGATCCTTTGGAGGAGAAGAGGTGCTTGTTTTTTGGAATTTTCAGCTTTTCTGCTCTGGTTTCTCTCCCCATCTTTGTGGTTTTATCTACCTTTGGTCTTTGATGTTGGTGACCTATAGATGGGGATTTGGTGTGGATGTCCTTTTTGTTGATGTTGATGCTATTGCTTTCTCTTTGTTAGTTTTCCTTCCCACAGTCAGACCCCTCAGCTGCAGGTTTGTTGGAGTTTGCTGGAGGTCCACTCCAGAATCTGTTTGCCTGGGTATCACCAGCAAAGGCTGCAGAATAGCAAATATTGCTGCCTGATCCTTCCTCTGGAAGCTTCGTCCCAGAGGGGCACCCACGTGTTTGAGGTATCTCTCAGCCCCTGATGGGGAGGTGTTTCCCAGTCCAGCTACATGGGGGTCAGGGACCTGCTTGGGGAGGCAGTCTGTCTGTTCTTGGAGCTCGAATGCCATGCTGAGAGAACCATTGCTCTCTTTAGAGCCATCAGACAGGGACGTTTAAGTCTGCAAAAGCTGTCTGCTGCGTTTTTTTCTGCCATGCCCTGCCTCCAGAGGTGGAATCTATAGAGGCAGTAGGCCCTGCTGAGCAGCGATGAGCTCTGCCCAACTTGTGCTTCCGGGCCTCTTTGCTTACACTGTGAGCTACTCAAGCCTCAGCAATGTTGGATGCCTCTCCCTGCATCAAGCTGCAGCGTCGCAGGTCGATCTTAGACTGTTGCGCTAGCAGTGAGCAAGGCTCCGTTGGCATGGAACCCACTGAGCCAGGCACGGGAGGGTATTACCTGGTCTGCCAGTTGCTAAGACTGTGGGAAAAGTGCAGTATTTGGTCAGGAGTGTACCGTTTCTCCAGTTACAGTCTGTCATGGCTTCCCTTGGCTGGGAAAGGTAAATCCCCTGACCCCTTGTGCTTCCTGGGTGAGGTGACGCCCCACCTTGCTTCAGCTCACCTTCCATGGGCTGCACCCACTGTCCAACCAGTCCCAGTGAGATGAACCAGGTACCTCAGTTGGAAATGCAGAAATCACCCATCTTCTACATCGATCTTGCTGGGAGCTGCAGACCAGAGCTGTTCCTATTTGGCTATCTTGGAAGCAACCTCAGGTATTTCTTTATTAGCAGTGTGAGAACAGACTAATACAGATTACTAAATCCAGAATCCAGAGAACACAAGATTATAAGTTCCTTGCGCTTGAGCATGTTCAGTGAGAGCGCTGCAGGGAGAAGGATGATGCATTCTGAGAGCCAACAGGGCTGGACTGGAAACTGGAGGAAGAGAAAGAGCTAAGGAAGGAGAGGAGCAAATTGGGGGTTGACATGGCTGCACATGGCATACCATCCTGGGTCCAGTCTAACTCCCAGTGGTCCTTACACAGATGGAACCCTTGTCTAATGCCATTTGGAAGACCCTACTACTAGTTTCATTATGGGACCAGGGTTGGAGAGGCTCAGAATTCATGGGCAGCAGGCCTCCACCATTTTCAGATTTAATCTGAATATATTGTCCTGTTGTGCCAGAGTGACTGTTTCTTCCTCTCTGTCCTCATTAAGCCCCTACAGATAAGGCTTGGAAGGATTTGGGAATTAAGGCTTCAGGGGTGATCATGTTGGGGAACTGGATGCTCTACTAGCATCAGTGCTGCTTTTCCTAAATGCACAGAGATGACCCTCCTGCCTACACCTCTCATCTGGATCTGTTGACTCAGGTAACAGGTACAATTGCAGTGCTTACACTAGCTGGGAGGGCAGCTGAGAAGCCTTCTCCAAGACCAAGCAAAATGGAGCTCCAGAAGGGACTCAGGTAGCAGCCACTTCACCCCTGCTTCCCTCACTGTCTCCAAGTGCACCACGTTCAAGATGCCCTTGAACTTCACCAGACCTGGAAACAAGAATCCCAATATAGAAAGGTAGTTTTTGAATCCAGGTCTGTTGTTCCAAAGCATATCTGTCAAATAATAAAAAAGACTATTTAAGCTAACTCAGACATTTTAATTAAGGCATTGCATGTTCCCTGGGCTGTAGGGAGGAGTTACATGACTAGAAATCATATGGAAACAGTGGACTGCATAACATCTGTGAGTCCCTCGTCACTTCCTCTCTTGCTGAAGACTAGACACTGTCCTATAGAGACACAGGAGGATGAATGTCCATTCTTCTGACTGGCCATGCCCTGGATCAGAACAAAAGCTGAGGCACAATAACAGTAAAACCAGAGGGCCGGGCGCGATGGCTCATGCCTGTAATCCCAGCACTGTGGGAGGCCGAGGCAGACGGATCATGAGGTCAGGAGATACAGACCATCCTGGCTAACATGGTGAAACCCCGTCTCTACTAAAAATACAAAAAAGAAAAAAGAAAAAAGAAAAAAAATTAGCCAGGCATGGTGGCGGGCGCCTGTAGTCCCAGCTACTCTCTGAGGCAGAAGAATGGCATGAACCCGGGAGGCGGAGCTTACAGTGAGCTGAGATCTGGCCACTGCACTCCAGCCTGGGCGACAGAGTGAGACTCCATCTCAAAAAAAAAGAGTAAAACCAGAAAAGATATTTGGAGGGATGGGAGAAGATTCTGATATGATATTTTAAATATCTCCCAAGTAGCAAAGCTACAGGGCTTCTGCCTCCTTTCAAGGCAACTGAAAGTAGTCTTGATAGAGAGGTGGACTATTTATTTTGTAAATTTAAATGGAAAACTAATCAGAAAAGTTAGAGTGGCTGGCAAGAGACATACCCAAATTCTTTGAGTTCCTTTATCTCCATCCTGGTCTGTGATTTTTAAATAAAGAGATGAAGGAAGAATGAAAATAAGCATGTTAGCAGATGTAACTCCTGTAAAATAAGACAAAAGAGAAAGTTTAGCATTGCTATTGTGAAAATTTCCCTGCAAACAGCTACTGTAGAATGACAAGCACAAAGTCATGAAGCCATACCTACGACTCCAAAAATATCCTTCATGGAGGGTATGAAGATCACCAACAAGTTGATAACAACCAAGAGTATGCAGGTAACCACGGTATGACGACATAAATTAAACTTTGTTTTCTTAGCCAGTTCAAATAAAGATGAACGAACCTGCAAGAAAAGAAAACAAAGATTCTGTAAGTGCCTACAGCATGCCAACATTGACATTTCTCTGCAGAGTAACTGATTTATTGGTGCACAGGAATTCATGAAATGTTTTGTAATGCCTAGTGAATTTATAGATAGCTTAACAGTTTTGGAAGTACGGGGGCTTGACTTAAGAGGGAAAGTATTTTTATTTATGAGTAGTAGAGTTTTCTTGTTGGGGGGTGTAATTTCTGTCTTTGGTTTATCTAAGACTTGAATGTTCATTTCTGTTCTTTTTATATTCTCTCTTCATGTCTACTGAGATTTGAACATTCTATTGTCATTTCTTTGGAAAGAACAGGGTCAGATTAATTAGAATGGAGATTCACTGCATCAGAGGCTCCCTGACGCACTGAATGCCACTTGCTTTTCAAAGAGCCTGAACCGAGTCTTGGGATCTTTCCCAGATGCAGATTCAATAACCCAGGAAAGTTACCTGGGGCAGGCTTTCTCTGCAACGGGCTCCTGCAGGCAGAAGGAAAGCCGAGACCTCAGCTTTTCTCATATTGCACAGAGGCCCTTACTCACCGTGAAAAATAACACCGGCACTGTGAGGATCACAGCAACAATGACAGCCAGCCGCACTGTCAGGATGAGAATGTCATCTTTACTCTGATATTTGTGAAGGAGGTCGGACTGCACGTTGTCTAAAATGAGGGAAAAGCAAGAGGGTTTTAAAAGGAGACAAAGTATATAGCTGAATGACAGTTTTTCTGAAAAACAAAGAATCTGTAAACTAAAGGGCAAGAAAAGCAATGTTTCGAAATGTCTATTAAAACAATCAGGTTGGAAAGAAAAATCTCTATGTAAGACATGCTCCACTGTGCATACGCGACTTAGCAAAGAAATTTAAAGTAATCACTGGAAGAAGCTACATGGAGTGGGAATGCTTAATTTAGACTAAATTAAACCTAGGAGTACACTGGGCTCGAGAATGAAACATACAGTTGAAACGCGAAGCTGCTCTTAATCTAGACTTTCCCTCCACTCTTCAAACCACACCAAACTGCCACAGGCTTGCTCAGGGAGGGGGTGGGGTGGGGAGAGCTACAAGCCACCTTGGAGCTTGTTTCAAACTCTTCTCTTGTTAAGTCAACTTCAAGTGGCCAAGCAGCAGAGACACTAGTTGAAATTTCACCATCAGGAAATAATTCCACTCTTTCATGTATGTTGTTCTTGTAAAAAAAAAAAAATTAGTTTATGTACTACTTTGTGTGTGTGTGTGTGTGTGTGTGTGTGTGTGTGTGTGTGTGTGTGTGTGTGTTGAGACAGGGTTTTGCTCTATCACCCAGGCTGGAATATGGTTGCCATAGTGCCATTTTGGCTCACTGCAACCTCTGCTTCATGGGCACAAGCAATCCTCCTGCCTCAGCCTCCTGAGTAGCTGGGACTACAGGCATGTGCCACCATGCTTGGCTAATTTTTGTATTTTTTTTTTTTTTGTAGAGATGGGGGTCTCATTATGTTGCCCAGGCTGGTCTCGAACTCCTGGGCTCAAGCTATCCACCTACCTTGGCCTCCCAAAATGCTGGGATCACAGGTGCAAGCCACCGTACCTGGCCTTATGTACTACTTTGAACTTTTTCTCAATCCAGAACTTCAGAAAGTGTTATTTCAAAGACTAACAAAGCTAGAATGGCAGTCACATAGAGTATGGAACTGCTCACTCTTTTGACAAGAGGTAATTTCCCCTCCTGTCTCCTGCAAGGGCCTCTCACTGCACCAGTCTCAAGGTCCTCAGCATGGAATTCAAATGCTAATCTGTACCATAGAGCTTAGCTTGGTCTCAGTTTCCAAAAAAGAACCATAAGTTATAATACCAATCTCACTAGTTCTAATTTCCTTAATTCAAAATAACTAACCACTTAAAAAATAGCTAATCCTTTTTCTTTAATCCAAGAGTAATAAAAGTGTTTGGTGTTCTATTCTATGTGAAAAATAATGCATCTACAAAGAAAAATTATAGCTTCAACAAGACAACAGTGAGACTTCAACTAACATTAAGTTCTCCGCCTCTCTCTCCCTGTACAACTCTGTATGCACCTTAGCAACACCATTTTTATGTAAAAATTAAATGTGGTATTTATGAATTCATTAGACAATGCCATTCTCTATTGCTAGTGAAAACAATAATAATATCTGTATAATCAGAGTAGCCTTTTTCTCCAGGCTGAATTAATACTTTTTAAATGTGTTTAATTTTGAGACATTTGTGTTTATGAAAAAAAGTCCCAAAGAATTATTATTTAGTAGAGAAGATTGTGAAATACATACATATATATATATATACACACACATATATATACACATATATATAGACACACATATATATACACATATATATATTTAAATTAGGTCCCCAATTATAAAGATAATGAAAGATATTAAATCAAGCTTCAGGATAATTTGAATAGGAGAGGATGAAGAAGCAGTAAACGCCGGTAAACTGTTCATTCAGGGTCAGTAAAAGTTACATATGAAAACTTGTTCCCTTTTTCAGATTTCATTTTTTAAAATTTTCTATCATTCCTTTGGATCTTTGCAAGGCTTCGACTTCCAGTGAACAATTAGAAGTTTCATTTTTAATTAACTCAGAGTGTCATGAGTGTAGCACTCTGCTCTTTCTCACTTTCAGCATCTGTCTCTGTCTCTCCATTCTATTAATGGAATCTGACCCAATTTGCGGTGTCAATTAGGAAAGCCTTCTCTGATGTAGTTTTAAACCTTCCTCAGTAAAGGTAGCATGCTTCTAAAATGCAATTTCTATTAAGGACACTGTTAGGAGAAAAAAATTATAAATATTGTTTGAGTAATTATTTTATTCGGCAGTCTGCATGAACATGAAAAGATCACCATTGCTTTAAGTCGAAGAAAAAACTAGAAAAACCAATGGATAGCTTTGTTGCTTTCTTTGCCTTTCATGTTAAAAGTTATTTCAACACTAATTTTTACTAATTTGTTTACAAATATTTATATTTATGTACCAGTAGAAATTACTTACCATAGAATGTCAAGTAGCCAAAAATGGCAGTCAAGAAGTACATAACAAACATGGCGAAAAAGGAGATGTTTGAAACCATCTGCATTTTTTTCTGTGATCGGCTAAAAACAAATAAATGTTAAAAATTAAAAATCATATGACTGAATTTAAGCACCAGTGTTAACATTGAAGAATACTAATTTAACTTTGCTTCTGTCAGGTTAGGGAAGATCTGAACAGCTGAAATTACCCCTGGCAGTTATGCCAGTTGAAAATAACCTCTCTTATACTGAATTGGTATTGAGGGTGAGATCTGTGGAACTACACTCCCGTTAGCGTTCTTCCCCATTCTTTTAAAAGAATATCGAGTTCTCATCGGAAGGGCAGACAGCATTTTTTTAATATTTGTGCTTGATATTATCTCCACACTAGCTGGGCAAAGGAAAAAAGGCAGAAAAAAATCAATGCTGTTCTCCTAGCTCCAGAGATTAGTGGCAGAGCTGGAACTTGACCTCAGGTGTTCTGTCTCTAAAGCTGCTGTTTCAGGTTCTGATTTTCCCATTGGGTGGCCTCAGGGATGCACCTGGAAGTCTGTAGGTCTCCAGCGCAGCAAGTGCCCAAGAGATCACAGCTGGAATGATGAAGGGCTCCATCTCTCAGGTCAAGTTCACTCTGGGGTTGGGATGACCCTCTAAGTTTCTTTAACTGCCCAAACAATTAATCTGCAACACTTGTATTCAATAAATAACAGACCACAGATAGTCATAACATTTGGTTATGTCAAGGAATCTAGGATGCCATAGAAGTATGGAAAACAAGAAAAACGGAGAAGTAGGCCCCGCGCGGTGGCTCACGCCTATAATCCCAGCACTTTGGGAGGCTGAGGCAGGCAGATCACCTGAGCTCAGGAGTTCAAGACCAGCCTGGGCAACATGGTGAAACTCTGTGTCTACAGAAAATACAAAAGTTAGCTGGGCATGGGGCATGTGCCTGTAGTTCCAGCTACCTGAGAGGCTGAGGTGGGAGGATTGCTTGACCCTGGGAAGTTGAGACTGCAGTGAGCTGAGATCACACCATAGCACTACAGCCTGGGTGACAGAGGGAGACTCTGTCTCAAAAAAAAAAAAATAAATAAAGAAAAATTGAGAAGTATACGCTTGAGAAAATTAAAAACTAAAACTAAAAGCTGAACTATTAAAAGACGCCAAAGATATATGAGTGGATTCAATGCTAAATGACATCAACTTTGTTTCAAACTGGAAATAAATACTGATATTGTCGATCTTTTCTAAGTTTTTAAGATACGCTATTGTGACTATTTTTGTTTATGTTTGATAACCATAGGCTAAAAAGAGACATGAAGAAGTTTATAAGCAGGCCTTAATTTTCTCAAAACCAGCAATCAAAAATAAATCAATAAATCCATAGAATTTTCTTAATAGTTAAAAATGAACAGCAATATTCTCTTTTCCTAGTTTGTGGTCTTAATATTGATTTCTTATTGTCTGATTTACTAGCCTTTTCACCCAAACCCACAGGCAAATCAGAGACGATGTATTTAGCAGTTTACAGATAAATCTGAAGATTATCACCCACTTGCAAAATACGCATACGTAATGGAAAGCAACACAAATACTTAAACTTTCCTCGGTGATACAATATTTGAAAAACCAAATTAATGAAAAAGCCCACATGGTTGGCTACTTTTTATGTTTATGGCCCCCCAAAATACTGCAAGTTTCTGATTTTTCTTGCTTTCTTGTTTCTTAAAATACAATGCTTGTTTAAGAATGGCACAATGTGAGTAAATGTTGAAGCTGGGTGATGAATCCGCTGACGTTCATTAGACAAGTCCGTTTATTTTAATTGCATACTTGCCTATTAATGAGGGGATGTAAAACGATTAAGATAAAAAATTAAACAAATTTCTTACTCTTTAAGCTCACTGTAAATTGGCAGGACTGACGGGTGGCAAACAAATGCAAATGCAATGGTGGGTAAAGCATACACGGTCTATTTGAGAGAAAAGAATAGACATTAGGAAAAACACTTTTACCATAAAAAGGACATAGCTCCAGTATTTCTGAGCTGTCTTTTTATCTGACAGCTCTTCAGAATCCCTGGATTATTCGGTTATTAGGGAGGTTTTGATCTCTAAAGTAGAAGCAGCTTTTCTAAGACAGCTTGTCTAGCTCGAGCCATTAGCCACTTGTCACAGAGGGACTTCGGATTTGGCTCACCTATGGTGTATTTTATATACTCCAGGTATACAACACCCCCTGTTTATACAGCATGAGCCAGTTACATGGCACTCTTCCTAGGATAGCTCGCTGGGTCCCCACAGCAATCCCAAGCAGTAGGCAGACTGTGGCTGTTCTCCTGGCTCCCTCCAACAGGTCAGGCGACTGGCCCAGCACTCCCACCTCTAGTTTACTGCTCTTCGCTCTACATCAGGTGCATGGAATCGGACTTAAAAGATACCCTCTGAAAAGAAAATCTGTTCCATATTGCACTACTTTGGCTATATCCTTACAATCAGAGAGAAGGAGAAAGATCGCGATCTATTTAGTTTTCTTAGATAAGGCTCTTTGAAACTCTCACACTCAATCTAACTTCCTATGCAAAAAGAAGTGAAAACTAACCTATCTTATGCCCTAACTCTGCTGATGCACTATGCCAGGCACATTCTAACAAAACCTTGTAAGATACAGAATAGAATACTTATTTTTACTCAAGGGGTTGGGTGACTTGCCTGAGGATTCAAATCCAAGCCTGACTGACTCCATAATCCTCTGTTTCCCATTGTATCAACAATATTTTAATAGTATGAGAGTTTTTTAAGTGCCAGTTTGTGGTGGCATCTATATTTCAACTGTGCAACCTGAGGAAGTCTGCAGTATTCCTTTCTGTCATCGCCAGAAGAAGGGAGCTAAGGATGTTGTTAGTCTGTTTTTGAAGTATCACCTAGCACTCTACACAGAAAAAGCTGAGACAATTATCCAGAATGGGATTTTCACAGAGAATGCTTAATGGTAAGAGAGAGTGTAAAATATAATATTTGTATATTTCTCAAGGATCTCTACATAGATGTGTAATCTGGAAGCAATGGTATCATGTGTTCTTTTGAGAACTAATACATTCAAACCAGTGCAATTACAAGCATGAGAAATAGAATGTCCTTAATAAAAATGCTTGTTTCATCTGCAAAGGATCAGGAAACTTACCTTTGAATTGAAGGTAACATATTTTGGCGTACACGTGTCAGCATTTGTTGAATTAGCACTTATTGTTGAATTTAGCTCTGGAACAATGCAGGGAATTTGAAATTTCTTGTAAATAACCTGGTATTAAGAAGTATAGTAGAAGCAATATGGACTTTAGTAAAGCCAATGAATAATTATTACATGCCATTGTACTATCACAAAACCAAACCAACCATTGCAATCAGCACTTACCACAATTAGGAAAAAAACCATACAGCTCAAGGAAAATCCACTAGTATAGCCAAGATACCCTTTAAAAAAAAGTAAAAAATAAATTATTTCATTTTTTTCCATTTTTAAAAATTTTGGAGCTACCCATCATAAACTGTTATTATTTCAAAATTCATCACCTCACTTATTTCAGTGCATTATTTGAAGCATATTTTAGAGATCCAATAATAAACATACATGCCCAAGTGAATACAAGATTTATTATTTGACAGTGCTACTTTATTTGGCAAAAAAATGGGGCTCTGAATAGAAACATTATATTACGTGTTTTGATTCCAACTCTCCCTGGCACACTAGAGAACACAGATTCCCAGAATCCAGCAGAAAAGAGCCTTCCAATTTTTGCTGTAAGTCTGTGTTGGTGGACCCTGATGGAGTCCTATGGGCAAACCCATTTACTCCTTGATCCCCTCAATAGCTCTTTATTATGCACTTATTGTGTGCATACTGAATGTCAGTTATAATACTTTTCTCCCCAGATGACAGAGAGTAGATGAAGCGAATTTCTAGTGGTAAATTGAGTATCTGGGGCTCTTTAGTAGCTCCCCTTAGAATGCCTGGGAGATCTCCAATTGCTACCATGACCTCCAGAAAGGTAGAGTTAAGTAGCCTCTCGGGACTGCATTATTTTCAACCCAGGGGAAGAGCTTTTCTCTACTTAACTGAAAAGAGCTACCTCTATAGGTACAGAAAACACAGAGGCAGAAACCAGAAAATTAAGTAGTTAAAAAAATCTATTTATAAACCTCACAGAACAACTACAGAGCTGTTTTGTTTTGTATCCAAAACAAAACAAAAAACTAAGGCTCATAATTATTGTTTGGAGAGCTTTTATCCAAACTTCTGTTTGAATTAGCCCAGAATTAAAGTAAATACATTTTATAGGTTTTTGACTAGATGGCAGTCTGGTCACATTATTCAATGTATGAAATTCCCTTAACATCAGGCATCCTTGTCTCCAAATACAAGCATAAAAACAAGTAGTAGATCAAAGCCAAATGGATATGACTTGGAGATTATCCGCCATTTCTGACTTTTGATTTCTCTCTCCCACTTCGAAGAGAAATAATTGAGGCTGGTCAGACTCTCTAAATTTATAATACTTGTGGGTATAAATCTAGGCAGCTTTCTGTCTCCATATTAGATTTGAAAATGTATTTATCTAAATAATGAGGGTATTTAAGACTTCGTATGAAGAGAATTGCATTTTCTGGACTTTTCTTAGAGTAGCATATAAGTTGTACTACTGAAAATAGCCCTGTCTGTCCTGGCCCCAGGACCTCCCTTCTCCCCTCCACAGCTCAGTAGAGGGATTGTTTAGGAGGTCACATACTGACTGTTATTTTTATCCCATATTAAAGTTGGGACCGATTAATACTTGCAATTTATCATGTACTTAATCTTTGAGTGCATGCAGAGGGGAAGCAGAGGGCAACACTGTCCATTTTTATTCAGTTTCTGATTCACTTGGGCACTGCAGAATATGATAAAAGCAAAATCTGTCCTTACCTAAGTTCTTCAAGAGACACAGAGGGAGAATTATGCCAAAGGTAACTATCACCACCAGAACGCGGCCATCCACGTACCAGGCTCTGAAAGGCATTTAAGTGATTAGGTTATATTTTTTTAGAAAGTGACTTTTTTCCCCTCCAATGTAAAATTTCATGATATCATGATATATATTTTTATTAATTTTTACTATATGCATTAATTTTTAAAATCATTATTCAGGTCTTATCCAAACACTTTAACCCAGCCCCTACTTATATACTACAGCTTCACTCCCCTGTAATGGAAGAGGGAATATTGGTTTTTTTTTTTCCCATTGGCTAAATGTGGCATTCTTTTGAATTATTTACATGGTTTCAAAGCTGAATGCACACATTTCATTCTGTCAGATTACAACTTGTCCTATCAATTATTTAAAGAGAAAGCTCCTTTTTGTTTTGCTGGGCTAGTATCAGTGAGAAACAAGTCACTACAGGTAGACATTTCTCTCTCCCTGATCCCTTGGATTTGACCTTGAATCCTGAGAACACTAGAGACTCTGGCTTCTACGATTCTCCCTTGAAAGAAAACAGAGAAACTAAGACTGACAAGAACTGTTAAACAAGAGGGAGTCAAAACACAATTGTGCCAAATGTAGCTGCAACATTTTCCAGGGTTATCTACATCTTTAATGAGGTTGGCTCATGTAAATTTCGCCCCCAAAATGCTATGTCCCTTCTTTAAGTAAGAGGCTAGGGTCTTAATTTTTGTTGCACGTTCCACTTTTGTGTTAAAAATACTGCATATCTGTTCTATTTCACAGAAACTAGATATAGATTTCAGGCTCTGGGGAAAATGCAGTATCTACCGCTCATAGCATGACAGACAAATCTACTTTTCAAATGTGCATATGCAAATGGCTCTCCTGCTTTTTTCCTTTATATAGCCCCAAAGAAATTTATTGTTGAAACAACAAACAAACAAAACGCAGCCTAGGAAAAACTTTCTGCAATATTCACAAGCAAGAATTTTGATTGGCCCATATTTAAATTAAAAACATTTTAGTTATATCATAAAAAAATGGTCTATAACTTACGAAAATGTCTCTTCCTTTCCCATTAGAAACTTTATGGCAGAGGGTAGTTCATTTTTTACGATGAAGAGGTAGCTCAGCATTGCTGAAGGAAAATGAGAACATTTTTAGAAAGAAGATACGAAGGCTTATGTTGCAAGCTACATAAAAAGTTATCAGCCCGTTCTTAGACCAACTGTCAGTAAGACACAAAGGCAACTTCAGCTACTCTAGCAGGATTTGTGGCTTTAAATAAGTGACTGCTGTCTCTGCTTTACTTTCCCTGTGCCATTTTAGCAATGAGGATGATAACTGCTTGAATTATGTTAAAATTCATGTGGCCGCTCATCCACCAGAATTAGTTTCAAGTTATGTAAAGAAAAGCATGTTCTTTTTACCTCCAGTGTTCTGTAGAGAGGTGGCTCCAAAGATTACGAACTTCCCTGTGGTGCCAAAGACTTGTTCCCCCAGCTTTTCATACACCATGCAGCCTATTTAAAAATCAAATTTGAGAACACAAGAAATGACAGGGTTCAGAAAGTTAAAATAGTCAAGATTTTGTCATTCTATTGACTGTTCCCCAAGTTACTATGTGCCTTTCTCAAACTCACACAAATAGTCATTTTGGCCTTCAGGGGTTAAGGTATCCTCATTACAAAACAAATTCTTAACATTTTAAAATGTGAGATGCAACCATCATTTCTCCTTTTTCAAGTTGGCTACCAGAGCATTACAATTAACCTATTAGGTCATAAGGCTTATTTTTAACTACCTCTATCTTACAAAGGGGAAATTCCTTCTGTGATCTTTTTCTTCAGGTCTGGTGTACACCATTAAAATACATATTTGATTTAAAAAGATCCTAATAGTTGAAACAAAAAGATTCCTTTTGAATTAATGACCTGAACTGATTAGGCAAACAAGGAATTATCTTAATAACATCCCATCAATGCCTCCACGTTCTAAATGTAATAACAAGCTTAGAAACATTTTAATAGCCACGACATACAAAACCTAATTATTCATAAAATGTAGTTCAAATACATGCAACTCACAAAAGAGAGCAGAAGACTAATCTGTCAAAAGCATAATTTGTCTGTAGCAAAATTTGAAAGTGTTCGACTAGCTCATCTCAATAAATACTGAAACTCTAAAGCATTCACTTTTTAAAAAGTGTTTATATTTCTTTATAACTGTTCAGTTCATGTTTTCAAAAGGTTCACGGAGAGCAATATGGGACAGGCTATAATTAAACCTTTGTTTAATCTCTCATAAGACTGGTGTTTAAACTAGACAATGGTTAGCTCCTCAATTTATTATAAAATGTTCCAGTTAAATGGAGTCATGTATATACAATAATAGTTGACCAATGTGGTTTTAGTTAATGTAAAAGTCAAAGAATTACAAACATAATCCAGTGTCCCAGAAATAGAAAATAAACACTTCAGGTATTACACTGCCCAGAGTACTTGAAGTCTCTTCATAGCTTGCTCACTCCCACATTGCCTCAGGAGTAACACTTTCTCCTTGGAATATGCACAAGAGAATGACAGGTCTGTTTACTTTTAAAACCTTGGAAGTTATAATATAAAAACATGGGATCTTTGTTCTGGATTTATAAAGACCTAAGGAAAAACAAGCTTTTAAAATGAAGTCATTTTAAACCAGAAAAACAGGTATAATTGAGGGTTCACTTTAAGTGACAACATTATTTTCTCATTGTCCATGACAATTTAATTTATATTTTGCTGCAACTGTTTCTCTAGATAAATACTACTATAGGTCTTCCAATCACTCTAGGTCAAAATAGTCTTTCTTTTTAATAATCAAATTGCTGTACAGAGAGAACATCATTGTTCCACAATGCTACCATAAAAATAATTCACCCTGGTTTTAACAAAATCAAACACGTCCTCAGCTTACCTGTTTCTTTTGAACAGATCAATAGGAGGTTTATTGAATATATAGACAGCAATGTCACTGAAGTCAAAAGTACCCTAAAGCAAAGAAAATAAATCTTATTGTAATATCTAGAAAAGAATATATTCTGGCATTACAGTTTAGAAGGGCAAAGGTTTATTTGTATGGTTAACACTATTTGTTAATAGTATCCAAATTTTGGAACCTATTAGTCATCCCTGCTTTAAAATCCTCAACAAAAATGTCCTACCAAATAAAGAAGTGCTCATTAGAATCTGAGTAACAGTTCAAATCCTTTATGTAATTCGAAGCCCAAATAGCTCTCTGGGAGCATTTCGGTTGAGATGACTTTAAAACAACATTATGAAAGAAGGCTTTTGTAGTCTATGTTGCACTCTCTGTTACATCCGGGTGAGAAAGTGTGAGAATGGGGTGGGAGGGGCGGAGGGAAAGGCTGGCAGTGACCTTAGGAGAATGACCACCTGACTTTGGGCAACTTGCTTAACATTCCCATCTCTGGATTCCTTGCCCATAATATAAAGATACAAGCCAAATGATGTCTAGGGTTCTTTTCATCTATTACTTCATGGCTATTTTAAAATCTATATATTGGGCTACTAATGTAATTCACTTTTTTTGCACCTGGTTCCTCTTAGATGAATAAGCACCACTTGGTAACCAGTGGGAAAATTTGACAATCAAGTATAATGAAAAGACTTTTTTGAATGATGAACTCATGTTTTTGTTTTAGTACATCTGGGTCATTATCACACCCTTCTCAAGAAAAAGTGCAGTTAAAATGATGTGGGAGATTATATAGATGATTTCTGAAACATTTGGTTAAAACAGACATGATAATTGAAAATAAAGCCTATTTATTAAAAAAGAAGAAAAAAAATCCAGTCCCCAGATGAAACCGCTCACTTCCTGATGTGGGAAAATATATCCCTAGAACAATACATAACTGCAATTGACTCTATGTTTGAGTCATGAAAGGCAATTATTTTTCCACCAAGTGCTGTTGAGAGGCACTTGGCACATCATGCCGTTCGCTCTGCGTGGGCTGCTTCCTCCTGGCCCTTCCCCCTCCCAGCACACCTGTTGAAGGCTGCTCTAGGCCCCAGCTCAGATGCCAACTCCTCAGTTGCCTTCCCTGGCCCCAGGCAGAATGACTGCTCCTCAGCTGTCTATGATCCTACAGTGTTTTGTTTCTCCTGCATACGGGGCAACCATGAGGAGATAAACCAGGAGTACAGAATGGTCAACAGCAGAACAGATGAACTGCCAGAAACTGGCCAGCAAACAAAAGAGGGGCAGAGCTCAGCAGAGGCAAAACAAACACTAGGAGAAAGAACAGACCTAACACTTTGGGTAGAGGCCCAACTGATCTGCCAATAAACAGGAATTTAGGTTAAGATATGATTGGTAAGGAAGTACATTCAGATCTATACTTATTTCCCTAAAATCCTTGAGTGAGGAGGCTGATTGATATGGTTTGGCTGTGTCCCCACCGAAATCTCACCTTGAATTGTAACTCCCATAATTTCCACGTGTTTTGGGAGGGACCCGGTGGGAGATAATTGAATCATGGGGGCAGTTCTCTCATACTGTTCTTGTGGTAGTGAATAAGTCTCATAAGATCTGATGGTTTTTTTATAAGGGGAAACCCCTTTCACTTGTCTCTCAATTCTCTCTTGTCTGCGGGCAAGTAAAATGTGTTGTTCGCCTTCCGCCATAATTGTGAGGCCTCCCCAGCCACGTGGAACTGTGAGTCTGTTAAACCTCTTTTTCTTTATAAATTACCCAGTCTCAGGAATGTCTTTATCAGGAGCATGAAAATGGACTAATACACTGATTAAGAGGGTAGGTCTCTTATCTCTTCAGGTTGAGGGATGTGAGAAACGGACAGCAAGCATTTATTAGCCAACCCAGTAGTTCTGAGATACGTAATGGAACAGGATTTGATATGCTCTGCCACAGAATAAGATATGGGACCTAATTGTGGCATGATTTTTTTTCCCGTCAAGTAAGATAAGCAATATTTATGTCAAAGAAGCAAGCTTTCGGTTTCTTGCAGAGTTCACTTGTTTTGAGGGACACAATGCTAAGTAGCCACTTCTACACGAACATGTGACAGGCCCTAGAGGATTTCCGTGTGGCACAGAAGAGCACAGGCTTCCTAGTGGAGTAAAATGAGTGACATCTTAGGATGAGCCAGATGCTATTCTGGAATGACTATGTGCCCTGTTGGGTCTACTCTGCTAGGACCAAAGGGATTTTCCCATGGGCCCAAGGCTAATGTATAAAGAGTATGACCTTGTAGGAACTATCTATGTGCCTAGCAGGAGGGGATAATTATGAATATCTACACAATTATTTACAAAAGGCCCTAACCCTGGAGAACTTGGTATTTATTAGCAAAAGAAACATTCTAAGGAAACATTTGCTGTGTTCCCTCAGTCAGTAGCCTCTGCAACCACGCGGTTCTTGCACATGGTTGTGTCTTAACACAATCTATGTGTTGAATCTCTTTGCAGATGATGCTCAGTGGCATCTGGCCCTTTGAGCATCATAAACTGCTATCCCCCCTTTTCAAGCCGGAGAAAAGTGTTGATTAGGGAAGATTTTAGTAGTGTTCACTTATCTTCTTCCCCCCACTTAAACACAACAGAATGAGGTGCTCCCACAGTGGTGAAAACAACCCCCTCCCATGTTTAAGAGACGTAACATTGCACCCCAGAGTACTTAGAGTCTGATAGTTTTTGCCTTTAACTGTCTGATCTGCAAAGGATCTCTTCTTAGTCCTTTCCCAAATGTAGATCTTCTCTTCCAAGACTGAAAATTAATATAAAGCAAAACCCCCTTTTCTATCAGATCACTAAGAGGCAAACTGTAAAAGTAAAATTCTAAGAATACTTTAGCCTATACAAGAATCTGGCATTAATAGGATTAAAATTTAGAAAAGTATACCTCCTTGTTCAGATTCTTAGAAAGAAGGAATATGTTGTCTAATTGACTCTAATAGAACCTAGAAAGGGTTAGAAAAATCAAATCATAAATGTCTTGAGACACAGAAACCATGACATCTAAGAGAAAGAAGAAAGAGGAATAACTGGAGAGAAGGTGTTGACTTGTTTGAACACTTCTATTTAGAGCATGATTATGCCCCTAATTGTCCGGGTAGATATTTGTACATATAATTATGGTTTCCTGGAAGAGAAACACATGCTGGGATTCCTGTGTTAACACAGAGGAACACAAGTGATTCCTTTTTAAAATTTCATCTGGATATAATTTAAGCTTCAACATTGTTAACCACTGACCACAAGTATTAATATGGCTGGGACAAAAACTGGTTGCTAAAAAAGGCGTACTTACATGGGGACTACAGATCAGCAATTGATAATAGGGCTGCCAAGGTGTTGATATTTCAGACTTATGTTCATCTTTGAGGAGAAGATCTAGAGCATGTAATTGTACATGGGTCATGGGGAAGGGGTGGCAAGAGAGTTAGAATTGCGAATAATGTGGTCAGGAGCCTTCAAGAGTCTTTGAGTCAGCAACATTATGAAAGATGTGGTTCAGGACATTCTAGTAAATTTTGGAGTCTCCTGAGAAGAAACTTAGAATTCTAGACTCCTGAAGCAGGGAGAGACTTTCAGAGAGAACCTAGTCCAGCACAGCATGTTTACCCAGGACAGGAAACCTCTATGCTCCATGCCAACACACAGGCATCCAGGTCTGCAAAGTGTCTTTTAAAAGGGGACATATTATGCAACCCATTCTGTTTCTGAAAAGTTCTGTGCTTGGAACTGAGGCTCAGCTGAAATCACTGTCGCTACTTCTATCCTTGGGTCCTCATTTTACCTTCTGGACCTATTTGTATCTACTTGAAATCTAACACCTCTCCTACCTAACAGTCCTGAGGGTGCTCATTTTAAGATTGTGCTCTTTAACTCAAACATCTTTAATTCTTTGAACTGTTCATCTTGTGATGAAGTGTTTGGGCTGTTTACATCTCAGTCATGGTCCAGTTCCTCAACCATCCTTTTTAAAGGCTGTGTGCTGAGATGAACACAATGCTATAACATCAGATTTGGTCCAAACAGCGCAAAGCATGATAGGATTTTTAATTTCTCTGAGTCAGACATCTTTCTTCTTTCAAGGTAATCTATTTTGGAATTCATTTTTACGGCAACCACACACTTTTCATTCTTTTTGAGCTTCTGGTGTGAATGCTACTAGGCTGTCTTCCTGATTCTATCTTGTGTACTTTTTTTGTCTGTTTCTGAAGCTAAGTGCCAGTCCTATATTTATTTACATTACATTTTATCTTTCAAGTCTCATGATCTCTTCTTAAATTGTTGATCCTTTTTACTTATATATCAACCACTGCATCTAACTTCATATCTTAAGTGTACCTTCATCCAAGTCACTGGCATCAACCTTGAATAGAACAAGACCATCTGGAAATGGCCCATTGTCCAGCCAACTGCTTGAAGCCTGGAAGTCGACCTTATCTCTCACCCATTCCCTCATCCTTTATATCTAGTTCATTGGCAAGTGCCCTATCATTTCTATCTCCAAAATTTATCCCAAATCCATAGGCATTTTGTTCCCATCTCCACTCTAGTGTGAGCCATCGTCCTTAATTTCTGGATAACTGTGATCATCTTGTCTCCTCACATCCGTCTTCCACCCAGCAGCCAGAGTAATCTTTTTATTTTATTGCTTTATTATGTGTCTCCATCACTAGACTGTAAGACAGACAACGACAGTTTAATTCAACTATTTACCTATTTACCTTCAACATCAAACACACACATAACAGAGTCTTCGCTGAGAATCAGTGAATTTAGAAACATTAGAACCTCATTGGCAAGTTATGTGAGACTATGCCAAATATCTTAACTAAAATCAAGACTCCCTCTATGAAGATAGTCCCATGATCTACTTAGCTCACTGTATCTCAAAAGATGATATTAGTTTAGTGACTATTTAGAAAAACTTTGTTGGTTTCTACAGAGTAATCTTTTCTGCAGTCATTGCACATAAACAAGCTGTTTAATAATTTTCTCTACACTATTCCTTGGCATCTACTTTTTGCCATTTTTGAAAGTTGGGATTAAATTAGCCTATTTCTAATCCTCTGGGGATACTCTTGCTTTCCATGATTTTTAAACAGATTCCTGAGAGTATCTTAGACAAAGTGGCATGAGCAAAAAAAGAAAAAATGAAAAAGATTTGTCACAGTGGTCCTAGATATATTTACTCTTTTTGCTGCAAGAAAATTTTGACTCATCTTTTAAACAACGAACATCTAAACATCGATTTGAAAAACGTTATTTGTCAATGTTTTGAATCATATTAACAGAATTGTAATTATTTGGTCTTCCATAATTTACCCAAAGATTATATGAATAATGTTATTATTTTCATATTTAAAAGTACCATATGCTAATAAAGTGGAAAGCTGTGACAACAAATAAAACCAAAACATTTAATGTGATTGAAATGTTCTATACCATGATTGTGGTGGTGATTTCACAACTGTATTTGGGTAAATTTAACAAACCTCACCCTTTAAATTGGAGAATTTTATTGTATATAAAGTATACCCCAAAACAAACAAACAAAAAAACAACCAACAAACAAAAACCAACCTCAGGACACTTTAAGGGAGATAAGACTATATTTTAAAAGCCTAGCTACACAGCAACAAATCATATGACATCCTCCCAACACAGCATCAGAACCTTTGGTAGGGGTGGAGGTAAAGCAGCCGTCACTGCATCAGATCCAGAAATAGCTCAGATGGGGGTGTTTGGGGCTGCCTTGCAGCTGAGTGCTTTCAACTTCTCCAGGACCCATTCCTCCCAAAAAAAGAGAGAACCGTTGCCAGCCCTCCCTAGCATGACTCTCCCTTGCAAAGTTGAAAGCAGCTATTCTCAAACTTTAACGTGTGTGCAAATTAGGATCTTGTTAAAATGGATGGGTCGGGACCTGAGATTCAGCATTTCTAACAAGTTGCCAGATGCTGCTGCTGCTACTGGTCCACTGACCTCCCTGGAAGCAGCAAAACTGAAAGCCCTAAGCTCTGGCCTTGTGGTGTATACATTCCAGTTCTTTCTGTTTCTCACCACACTGTGCTGTGCATCACCCGCCACACTGTCTGTGGTGAGGTGCTGTGCCAACACTGCAGCTCAGTTACCTGTAAACACAGACCCCACGGCTACCCAAGTAAGGTGACAGTGACGAAAAGCACTTACAACTGAATCATTCTCATTGCTGTGGGATGCTGACTAGCTTCCAGTGTGAAAAGTAAGATCTCATCTGCTTCCTTTGGTTGACTTCCTCAAGCATTACTTTTTTTTTTCTTGAGACAGAGTCTTGCTCTGTCACCCAGGCTGGAGTGCAGTGGCACAATCTTGGCTCACTGCAACCTCTGCCTCCCAGGTTCAAGTGATTCTCCTGCCTCTCCTGAGTAGCTGGGATTACAGGTGCATGCCACCACACCCAGCTAATTTTTGTATTTTTTAGTAGAGACGGGTTTCACCATATTGGCCAGGCTGATCTCAAACTCCTGACCTCAGGTGATCTGCCCACCTCAAGCATTATTTACTTCAGCAGGACATATATTTAAATTCTATTTTCAACCTCCCCTCCCCCATGTTTCACTCCTTCCAAAAGGGATCTGAGGCTTACTAAACTATGTAATTCTTCCTCTTCTAGATCCAGTTAGAAGTATAAAACTTTTACTATCCTCAATTAAACAAGCAGGCTAGTACATATAAAAACTCCTTGAGCTGGGGTAAAAGTGGTCTTTATTACTAGTCCTCCTTTGATCTATCACTGTCTCCTAATAACCCACAGCCCTCACTCCAAAACTTACAGACATACTGCTTGTTGAGGCAGAGTATTTACAAGAAAAATTTAAAATCCAGGACAAGGAACTTAGACAAACCATAGGAAATGCATCGGTTCTGGGCTAGCCTATCTTTCTCCACTCCTTTCTGCTATTGCTGGCCTCTCCCTCACCCTCTTCTACCTCTTACTTCTAGTCTACCTTTCTCAAGGGTCTCAACCCTCCTGCATCTTCACCTTGCACTTTCCCATTCATCTTTCATCTCCACCAACTCTCCCTGCTTCTCCATCCCCACCCCCAATTATTCTAGGGGAAATACCTGTATAAAGATTTGAAAACATTGTTGAAGAGACTAGAACACTAGCTGAAAATGATGGAGGGGCTGGACTGTGGGGAGGACCCAACTGAGAATGCAGACCAAGAACTTAGTGTCGCCGTGTCTGTGTGGTTGGAAAGCACAGCTTCAGGGGTTTTCCAGGCAAGTGTGACAGCCAGCCAGTGGAAACAGGAAGTAGGGCATGAGTAGAAGGTTTAAGTGAGGGACCAGAGGCTCTCAGTGAGGCTCGAGGACAGGAATAGTGGTTTCTGGCCTAGGGAAGCAATGCCAATGGAAGACTTAAGTGGTGAGGAAAGAGACACAGAAGAAGAATCCTGGCCAGGCGCGGTGGCTCACACCTGTAATCCCAGCACTTTGGGAGGCAGAGGTGGGCAGATTGCCTGAGCTCAGGAGTTCGCGACCAGCCTGGATAACATGGTGAAACCCCGTATCTACGTTATCTACTAAAATACAAAAAATGACCTGGGCATAGCGGCGTATGCCTGTGGTCCCAGCTACTCGGGAGGCTGAGGCAGGAGAATTGCTTGAACCCGGGAGGCGGAGGTTGCAGTGAGCTGAGATCATGTCACTGCACTGCAGCCTGGGTGACAGAGTGAGATGCCGTTTCAAAAAAAAAAAATCCTTTGTTTAATGAGAGCTCAGATGGAAAGAGGCAGGCCCAAAAGCAAAGAGACAGGGACAAGGTGTTCTGAGTCCCTAAATTCATATGAAAATGTTAAATATTTTGAAAAATTCAAAATGATCTTTTATATGAAAATGGGTTTTGTCAAGCTCTTTAATTTACCTTAAGGGATTCAATATAATTAATAAAACACTTTACTGATCATTAATAGTACCAAATGTTGGGGTATTCATTATATATCAGGCCCTTTCTAAGCACTTTTTAAAATACTTCACTTATGAGTAGTACTATTACTATCCTTATTTTACAGATAAGGTAAATAAGGTAACAAGGAGGTTAAGTATTTTGTCTAAGGTCACACAGCTAGTGTCAGAGCACTCAAACCCTGGTAGTATGACTCCAAAGTCCCTACCCATCACGTTGCATTGTCTATCAAAGTCAAACATCCAGAGTGGAATAACACTGTAAAAAATAAGACCAAACAAAAATCTTAGAATGAAATACATTGAAATGTTAATGGAGCTTGTCTAAGGTGAGCCTGAACACTCCGAACAGAGAGACTTTGCGTGTTTTCTTTATACTTTATTTCATTTATTTTATGCATTTTCAAAATGGTTTAATGGTTATCTTAGTTTTACAATAAAAATATAAAGAACTTTTCAAGTGACAGTATTATTATTTTAACCCCTTTTTAGGGGAGAGTTGCATTTGTTTAAGTCTTAAGCTCATTAATAGAATCCCTGTTTGATTAAGGAGCTCACAAAATACTTACAGAAAGGAGTAGAAACATAATTATTCAGTCCTAAAGTGGACTTCTTAGTCACTAAATTCTGATCAAATTTCAAAATTCTGAGGGTCAGAAGACCAGCACACGGTGACCTTGTAGCATGTGATCATGTATAATGCTTACAAATTAGATTAGGGAATTAAACGGGTGGTTTTAAAAGGCCAGGCAGGAAACAGGTGGAGAGCAATTATTTGTACCGTTCTTTCCATTTCTTTCCTTGTAGGTAAATCTAAGCTCTGTGGTGCAAAGCTTTTCTTAAACTAGCCTCACTGTCAGTTAGGTATTTTGTTTTGTCTAGAAAAATAAATATGCATTGCTGATGGCCAATTCAAATAGTATCTAATATAATCCTCAAAAGAAAGAGGAATCTAAAAGAAGTATCCCAGTAAAAATAGAATTTTAGTTTAGTTGGTTCTTTGTAAAAAAGTTAAAGGGAGGTCTGAGCTTAAATGAGGATGTTGTACCAGTGAGAAAGAGCGCCATGTACCACTACCACTTCCTGTTTTTAACCTATAGTGGGTAGAGGGCTGTGGGTTTTGTGGGCACTCCATTTATAACTCTTGACACTCTTGATGTGTCCTCGTTCCTCTTTTCCCACTCCACAAGGACAAGTCGTTTCCCTTCTCCTCAAACCTAGATCCCTACTCTTTATCATATTCTAAAGATGTTAACTCTTGAGTGACAGAAAAATCCCATGTGACTGTTGAAGTAAAGGAATATGCTGTTCTCGGTGGGTATTTGGGACTTTTGTTCCGGTAGAAAGGTGGATTGGGGGCTTCATTCATATTTTCCCATTCTGTTTTTGTGGTAACAAGACACATTTAAGGAGAAATAGGCGGTTTAAGAGGAGCACCCAATGGACTTGTTGCTCTCCTCCCCACAGATGTCAGTCATCTTGGGCAAGTTGCTTAGCCTCCGTTAATTTTAGTTTTGTAGTCGCCCAATGGGTTCACCTTGCCTGCTGCCTAGACAGAACCACTTTATTGAGACAGGGGAATTGCAATGGAGAAAGAGTAAGTCATGCAGAGTCAGCTGTGTGGGAGACCGGAGTTTTATTATTACTCAAATCAGTCTCCCAGAGCATTCGGGGATCAGAGTTCTTAAAGATAATTTGGCAGCTAGGGGCTTGGGAAGTGGGGAGTGATGATTGGTTAAGTTGGATATGAAATCATAGGGGGGTGAAGTAAGATTTTCTTGCTGTCTTCTGTTCCTGGGTGCAATGGCAGAACTGGTTGGGCGAGATTACCAGTCTGGGTGGTGTCAGCTGATACATGGAGTACAGCTCTGCAAAATATCTCAAGCACTGATCTTAGGTTTTACAATAATGATGTTACCCCGAGGAGCAATTTGGGGAGGTTCAGACTCTTGGAGCCAGAGGCTGCATGACCCCTAAACTGTAATTTCTAATCGTGTAGTTAATTTGTTAGTCCTGCAAAGGCAGACTGGACCCCAGGCAAGAAGGGGGTCTTTTTGGAAAAGGGCTGTTACCAATTTTGTTTCAGTCAAACCATGAACTGAATTCCTTCCCAAAGTTAGTTCGGCCTATGCCCAGGAATGAACAAGGACAGCTTAAGGGTTAGAAGCAAGATAGAGTTGGTTAGGTCTGATTTCTTTCACTGTCATAATTTCCTTGGTTATAATTTTGCAAAGGCAGTTTCAGTTTCTTTATCTATAAAATGGGGGTAATTAACAGGGTTGTTATAAAGATCTCATGGAACAATGTACACTTTACAACTATCTTTTCTTTTTTAAAGTCCTTTATAAAATTAAAAGTCAATCTTACCTAGCCAGCCACACAAAAGGAGGCTGCGGGTGGCTTTGGTCTGCAGGCTGTCCCTTGCTGACCCCTGATATAGATGCAGATCTTTGAAATCATGTGCCTGACATAAGGTAAAGTCTGTGGCCAGAGAACAAAGCAAAACTAACTGGCCCACAAAGGAGTAGTTTTCTAATTAAACCAACTACCACTCTGTGAGTAATAAAAGTTCAAGCTAACCTTGAAAATCCAACTCTCTGCACCACACTTAACCTGCTCTACTGTGATAACTCCAACCTGGCCTACTGTAAACCAGATGAGTGAGCAGAGAAGGCATTCTACCAATCATGGAGGTAAATAATGCTGTAAAACCATAGCCAGTATAGTTAAGTTGTCTGTTGCAGGCTAAGAAAAATACACTGTACCAAAACAGAGATCACACTGCTGTCCTTGGATAGGACCAAGGCACCTGAGGCAACTCAGCATAAATAGGACTGAGTGAACTCAGGGTATACACTCTAGCGCATGTGCGCGCACACACACACGCACACACACCCCTACCTTTCTGGGGCTAAGAGAATTGAATTCTTAGAACCCCCTTATCAGATGCATCACAGACGACTCATAAACTAGCAATAGCTGCTCAACTTCTAAAAACAATGAGTGGGACTCATCTCCTACACATGCCAACTATTTCTGTTTACAAAATAGGCACTCATTGTTAACGCAATGCTAACCACTTTCCCATTTCCCTATTTCTGAAAAGCTTCTTAATCCAGTGGATTTCAATAGAGTTCAATGGCACTGCCACTGTCCCTTTTCCATGTATTTCAAATGTTGGCAAGCCTGAATGTGCCATTTCTCCCTCTCCCGGGTTATTACTCCCAAACAACAGACTCTGATGTCAATGATTTTTGCTGCCAGCCAAAGGACAATTTTCTCTTCAAATCATTTCTAAGGAACTGTGACTATAACTCAAAGAATTCTAAAAACAAGAAACTGATTGGCAAGAGGAAAGATGAATGTGACTAGTCCGATGGACCTCCTAGGATCATCCGGAAGAGTAGGGTTTCCTTATTGACTTCCTCTTAACTGCTCTGTCTTTAGATCACAAGATCCAGTTTGGTATTTCCTAAGGAGGCAAAGAACTGCTCACTTAGGAATGCACAGAGGAGATGACTTACCATTTATAAGGAATAACTTGATAAATAGCACACAGACCATCTTCGTTGCCACTGAGAGCAAAATTATTATCTTGGTAGGTGTCATTCAACCTTTTTGGCATATATGTAAAGTAATAAAGCAACGATAGCTTAAGAGCAGGCCAAGTTTGTATAAAGGTATGCTGCAATCTCACTGCAACTTAGTAGAATTTGCTGAAAAATATTTAGAGACATCAGAAAGTGATGCTGGTGCAATTGGTTAAGAATATAATTCTCCCGATAGAATGAGAAGACTATTTTTTGTGATGGGATAATAATGATCAAATTCCCATAACATACAAGCAAGGACTTAGGGCAACGTGCTGATGGGTCTATACTTTTACTTCTATTTCTATTTACTCCTTATGTAGGCTCAATTGTAAAACACTAAATTTAAAGAGAGAAGGGACCTGGTAGTCTGATCTCAGTTTACAGAGACCCTTATATTTTTCGACTTATCCTTACTGGAAGGGGTACTAACTGATTTGTTTGTAAACATGGATCATAGACAATACAATGGTGCATAGTTTTGCTGGTAGGATAATTACAAATGGCCCACAAAGGAGAATATTGAGAGACAGACAGAGAGACAGGGAGGGAGAGAGGGCCAGAGAATTCACCTACAATTAAGTGAACAATCCACCAAAGTGAAGATAATTGCTGTAACTGACAATGACAATTACTGTCCTTTTCCCAAACAGCAATTTAACAACAAATGCCCTTTTGCAATACCAACCTCATCTAGTATTTCTTAGCAGTCTCAGAACTATTTTGAATTTTCAAATGAAGGAGGCATTCCTAGGAAAGTAGACAATGAGCAGCCAGTCCCATGCTGACTCTGTGATTATTATCACATCTCCACAGCCTACTAAAAGTCTGAGGGTGAACTAAACCTTTCAGTTGATCTTTTTTCTCTCTGATAAATTTGCAACAATAATGAAAGCCACTGTTTTGCCCTAAAGCCTTGTTTCTGGTTTTGCAAAATCTAATTCTTACATATCCATTCACTTATTTCAGTAAAACTTTGCTGAGGAGCAGCTACGTGCAAATGCTGTTCTAGATCGTGTTAGCGGGAGGAAGATGATTTCAACAAGGAAGAATTTGGCATTAATCCTGCCCTTGTAGGGCTCAGCATTCAATAGGGAAGGTAAAATGTATGCTTAAATAATGGAAGTGATACTTACTATTAGAAAGATACAAATGACACTGAAAAGGAAAGGAAGAGAGACCTCCCTTCCACCTGGGAGGATCAGACAAGCAGTTTTGGAGGAGATAACATCTGATCTAGGCCTTCCAGGACCATGAGGATTCAGAAGACAGAGATGAGACAGGGTACGGGTGGGCTCTGGAAAGACCAAGGTAACAGTTTTAAGGCAGGCAGCCTCTACAGAAAAGGGAAGGTTAGTGTGGCAGAAGCTGAGGTCATCTGAAGGGAAAAGAGGTTGAAAATACAGTCTGGAACAAGTGGCACAGCATTGACAGAGTCCTCATTCTAGCTTCATGGTCTAACTATCTACACCAAAAATATATTTTCTCTCTCAAGTTTTTAGCAGGTAAGAGGAAAAAGAAAAAGTCTTACTGCACTGGTGTTAAGTTCTTCAAAAAACCAATTTTTTCAACTAGCTTTTTTTTTTCCTCTAAAAGCAGGTTAAAAATAAATTCAAAGAGTCTAAACTTTCCATCTCCACTCCACCTCTAGACCCTTTCTCACTCTCCAGAAGTAACCACTGCCAACAGTTCTCTTGTGTACCCTCCCCAAATATTCTGGGCAATATAATGTATACATATAGACACACCCTCCTTCCATGCTCACTTCCACCCAATATTCAGTTTGTATTCATGTAATAGTACTATGCTACACAGTATTAATAATACTATGCTACGCAGTAACATAGTGCTACACACTATGTTCCCCGTTACAACCTAGGAGATTTTTCCTCACCTGCCCATATAAGTCTATTTTACTCTTTTAAGTAGTAGTCTAATACTCTATTTTATGAAAGTACCATGGTTATTTAACAAGTTTCCTAGGGTTAAACTTGGTATTATTTGATTTTGCTATCACTTGGTGTTTAATTCTTAATAACAAAATGTTTAGTTACTTCTTTCAGGAGTTCAACAGCTCCTGAAAGCAATGGGAAATCTTAAATTGCACATGCAGGAACCCACATGACAAATATGAAGCCACTGAGAGGTTTATTGGTTTCACAATATACTTTAAGCATACATTTTACTTGTTGTGAACAGGAACCTGACATCCTCGGTCTACAGTTTGGTACACTTGATATTGCCAAGCTGTTTTCATGACAGTAAAGGGGATGGTTATTGGTGGAACACTAGCAAGATAATTCAGGAACACTGGCTGATTTTATAAGGTGATTTTAAAGGTACATTATATTGGAAAGTAAAAGGTAAGTACTAACTTGCAAGCATCCGTTGATAAAAATAAAGTTTTTCTCAAGTTGTAGAGTAATAATGCAACTTTGGTGTCTGAAGAAGGCATCACCAAAGGCGGTATGGTGTTTTAGATCACGCTGGCTCTAGAGTCAAGCAAGCCTGGATGGGACGCTGGCTCCCCTACTTTCTAATGTGTGATCACAGGTAAGTTATTAAGCCTCAGTTACTTTATCTGTAAAATGGGGCTAATACCTACCTCATAATGTTGTTGGTGGGGATTAAGATAGTGTAGCATATATAGATACTGTTCAGTAAATGTTAGCCATTATTTAGTGACTACCTAATACTAACTGTAGTATTTTAACAAATATCTACAGTGTGTACTATGCACCACGCACTACTATCACTCTCTCCATCTCTCTTTCTCTCTCACATTCACACACACACACACACACACACACACCCCACTCATTTATTCTTCCTAGTAGCTCTATGCGTTGGTACTAATAAAAGTCTCCTTGCATGCCACTTTTCAAAGTCTGTTTTTAGATAAATTATCTTTTTCACTCCCACAACCACAACACAAATGAGATAGAAAATGGAAAAAAAGAATCCAAAAGGTCTGGTATTATAATCAACCAAATAAAATTTAAACTATTGTTTTACACACATTGTACTTTTGTTTCACAATTAACATTTCAAAGAGATTGTTCACAAACTCAGTGTTAATAATAAACTGATATCTCAGAAGTGTCGTGAATTCTACTTTTGTTTTTCATGGTTTTCAACTTAAGGACTACATTATTAAAATAAAAATAATAATACATGTTAAGAAGTTATGGAAAAATAAAAAGCATTTATTGCTTTATCAGATTCTGTGTAGTGTAATAAACATCATACTTACCTAGTACTATGAGATGTGTTCTAGAGATTAATTTCCTGTAAAATGTATGCCTTTAATAGAAATCTTCAGAAAATGTAACAAAATGTAACAAAACAAAACCCACCATTCTTCCATGTCAATATTGATTTCTAATTCCTACTTCTGCTATGATGGAGTTATGGGTAAGACTCAGATAAAGAGGAAGTTATGGTGGCAGGAAATTCCTTTAGCATCTATTGCCTTTTATTTGGGTCCTCACTCCCAGGAAAACAGCTCAACAAGTACTCTTTACCCTGAGGTACTTGTGCCTCAGTACATCCCTGACTTGCAGCCTCAGGGTCCAGCCTCACTTTGTTACCCATAGAGGATATATACCTGCAGAACTATGATAAATCGAGAGTGCCCACCAGCATCCTCAGAATTCAGAAAAATGCAAAATCCAGCACCATTCTTACAACAGGACAGGACTCACTGAATCTAACTGAATTAGAGTGTGTTAAACAGGGATGACAGCCATTATGGATAGGTTAAAAAAAAATGAGCTGCAAACTCATCCAAGAAAAAGAAATCGCACCAACAAGTTTCCAGATGACTGCAGAGAAGGCTCCACACCCAGCCTCAGGGAGACACTAAGGAGCCTTCCCAGCTGCTGGTCCAAAGAAGCCTGGACAGTCTTGGACTCCTTTCCTGTGTTGGCCAATGTGAGTCTGGAATGGAGCCCTGTACCAGATGAAATATCTTGATCCTGCCAACTGCTTCTTGGCTTTGAGCAGTTGTAGGAGCAGCTGGTTTTACAAGAGTCACAGAGTGAATCCTTGTCCTGAGGTAGGAGAGTCCTAAGTTTAGTGAGAAACTTAAAGTTTGAGCCTTTGTACAACTACCTTCATGAGATTTAGCTGAAGACTTGGTGTGTTGCGCTTGTTATCCATGAATCTTACAAATAACTAAATGATCTATAATAGTTTCATCCAGGAAAAATCTTCCTTCAACTACAAAAGTAAATTTTTCCACTTCCCCGCTTTAATCAGACACTAAAGTGTCATGAGATAGGAGGTCAATTATCCCTCAGCCAGTATAGTTAAAAATCAATTGAATTCTAGGAATAGTAGATTGAATACAAGGACTTACTCCCTCTCCCTTGATATCCCAGTAAAAAGATTTTTTTTAAGGCGTAAAGCTGCTAGGATAAAATATAATAGTAGACAATAATGAAATTTTGAAAGCTGGAAAGCAGACAGACCTGAACCATAAATCGGCAGTGGAAAAAGCCAAGACCAACTCAGTTTACCTCAGAGAATCTCTAAAAGGCACTGCTGGCATGACTGAAAGTTGGGGATAATGGAAGGGGTGAGCTAAAATAGTGAGGATCTGTTGAACTTTTTTCAAGAAATAGCTAGATTCCCCAGACCAGGTCCTACTCCATAAAGCTGACTGGTTGGTCCTCCCCTATCCTGGCAACAATCTGAATATATGTTCTCTGGAAAGTATACAATATATGTTTCTAGGTGAGAGACTAGGCACAATTTGTGGGCAAGAGGCATACTCTAATGAAAATTGGGAACTGAGTGAACACATGCCTGCTGGGATAATCATTCCAGCCCTTTCCCCCTACTTGGTTCCCAGAAAGATGGCGGTGAGGTCTAGGCCCCCAGAACAGGGGATTGGGAGCTGTTCTCTGGGTGATCTGAACAGCCAAAGAAGAGGGTCTTAGACAAATGACCCTGGTGGTTCCCAAGTAAAGGAACATCTTAAGTAAATAGCATCTTAAGTGAAGCTATTGCGAACAAGCCCCACTCATGTGCGCCAGGCTCAAATCAGCCTTGTTTTCCCCCCATTCTTGAAGACAGCAGATAAAGAGGAACTATCTGACATCTGGGCAAAGAGTCTAAGGTGAAAGACCCCAAAACAAACAAAAATCAGCTTGTACCTCAGGGATACAAACAGCAAAATCCAGATTGTGGAAAACTTTACACAAATGGCCCTGTTTCTTAAATAAGTGGCACAGAATAAAAGGAAAGAAATGGGAAAATATAAATTAAAAAAGACTTAAAATACATATCAACCAATTGCACTGTGTGAACCTTATCTGAGTACTGATTTGAACAACCCATATGTTTAAAAACATAACATAATCAAAGCAATTTAAATACTGATTGTATATTTGATGATATTAGGGAACTGTTGTTGACTTGTTTCTAGGTATGACATATTGAGTTAAAAGAGTCCTTATGTTTTAGAGATATATACTAAAATATTTAGGGATGAAATAATAAAATAGCTGAGATTTGCTTCAAGACAATCTTGGTGGGGGACTGACTAAAACAACCATCCATAGAAGGAAGGAAACATACAAATCTTTTTCTACTATTCTCTCTACTTCATGTTTTAAATTTTTCATAATGCAGAAAAAAAACTATCATTAGAATCCTCAGAGAAGATATTGAAATCATGAAACAGAACCAAAATAATATTAAAAAGAAACATTCTTAGAGTTTTTAAGCTCCTATAAATATAGTAACAGAAATAAAAAATTCAATAAAGAGGGGAAAAATTGAGGACATATCCCAAAAATTACAGTGAAACGTTATAGAAATGAAAATAAAGGAAAGATTAAAAAAATTAGAGGACTAGTCTAGAAGGTCCAAAATCTGGGGGTAATAGGAATTCATCAACACAATAATGTAAAAAAATTTCCCAAACTGAAGGTCATGGATTTCCTTTTTTTTTTTTTTTTTTTTTTTTTGAGACGGAATCTTGCTCTGTCCCCCAGGTTGGACACAATCTCGGCTCACTGCAACCTCTGCCTCCCGGGTTCAATCGATTCTCCTGCCTCAGCCTCCTGAGTAGCTGGGATTACAGGTGCCCGCCCCTACACCCAGCTAATTTTTTGTATTTTCAGTAGAGACGGGGTTTCACCATGTTGGCAAGGCTGGCCAGGCTGGTCTCAAACTGCCAGGTGATCCACCGGCCTCAGCCTCCCAAAGTGCTGGGATTATAGGCATGAGCCACTGTGCCCGGCCAAGGCCATGGATTTCTAAAAGAAAAGATTGCACCCAATGCCTGACACAATTGATGAAAACAGGCCCACATCAAGGCACGTCATTGTGAAACTGCAGGATACTGGGAACTAAGAGATTTGACAAGTTTCCAAAAAAAAAAAAAATTAACAAAACCTGGCTATATATAAAAGATCAGGAATCAGAAGCATATAGGACTTCACAACAGAAAAAAGCTAGAAGGAAATAGAGCAATACCTTCAAAATTCTGAAGGAAAATTATTGCTAGTATAAAGTTCTATATCCAACCAAACTACCAATCAAAGGTAAAAGTAGAATAAAAATATTTTTCAGAAATAAAGGTCTCAAAAATTTTATTTTCAGTCACCTTTTCTGAGCAATAACAGCACATAAGTAAATCCAGAAAGAATAATAAATGGAATATAGGAAACAATGGATCTAGCAAAGAAGAGAGGTAGAGGAAATCCTCAGAAGGGTGATCAAGAGAGATTCCAAAATTAAAGCTACCCTTTATGCCTCAGTTTCCTTATCTGTGAAACAGGAAATTAATGATAGCAGCTACTTCATAGAGTTATTGTAAGGATTCTGCATAAAACACTTGGAATAATGCCTGGCACTACCAGATACTACTTGTATCTCTTGTAGAGATACAAGAATTACTGTTGTTACAACCATCAAAGAATTGACTTTTTACACTAGGTTAATTTATAACTTGACATATTGCAATAACTTTTAAAAAAAGAAATCAATGTAATACACATTCTGAAGTGAACATATTCCCAGCTTTGGAATGACTGAAAATAGTCACAGAACCATAGCGTTTTGGAGGTTGGCCTGGTTCTGAAATTTTTCTTGCACAATTTCCTTGTTTTGAAGAGGAAGGAACTGAAGCTCAGAGTGGCTAAGAAACTTGCTTAAAACTACATAGCCATTTAGAAGAGGAGTTGGGAGTAGCGCTCAGGTGTCTCATGTAAATGCACTGAAAACCAGAAGTGTAGCTCCTCAAGCAGTCTACTATCCTCAGAGAGTCAGAATTTCACATATACTCAAAAAAATCACCATAGAAATATGTTGTCCAATTCTGCCATATTACCCTAAAACCTGGCACTCAGCTCAAGCGGAAAGGCAACTTAGAAAGATGCATTCAGAGTGATCAAGAGAGGAGGCTAGAGTTAGGTTCACTGAATTAGGCTGACAATATGGAAGACAATGTATCGAATTCACCATCTTACACAGTCTTTTAATTTTAGAAAGGACATGTTAATTTACACACACACAAAATTAATGCCTAACACAGGGCAGCATGGATGGGCATTTCTGTTCCTGGAGTAATGGAATGGGCAGTAATATTCTTTTATCTCAGTTTTTGATGTCTTTTTTGAAAGGATATCCACAGTTTGTAGGATTAGTAACCATTTCGGTCACTGCTTGTAAGGAAATGATGCTCCTGTCAAAAGGACATGGCAACAAGGACTATCTAGCCAGGCCAATGAAAAGCGTGAGTTTCAAGTCAGGGAACAAAAGGCAAGATCCTCGGAGAAGTGCTTTCTCCCTCACCTCACCACTGACACTCGTGTGACATTTGAGAGGGAATCAGGCTGGGCGAGAATTTTCTTAGTACAAATTCTATCATCTCTCTTAATCTTGTTCCAACTAAAAATAAGCCCTCCATACATTTGCAGAAAGTCCCATTCAACAGTTTGAGATAAAGTTATTTAAAAAGAAAATTGCCCATTTTCTTTTCATTGAATCTCAGTGGGAAAGTACATGCTAATTTCTCATCTTCAAAACACTGAAAATTTCTATGCTTCTTGAATATTTATTACAAACAAATTTGTAATTGCCCTTTGATGTAGTACACGCTTCACAGCAATCCAAATGCCAAAGTGGTGACTGGCTGGGGTTAAACACCTCTTAATATTTTAACTGAGATTTAAAGTCACAGGTAGACTCCAAAAATACCAAAAAAAGTTATTTTCAAATGTTTTAATCCTTTTCACAAATGCTTATTTCAGTATTTTTGATTAATAAAAAGATTTTCTCCTTCCTCTTTGTTGTAAGCATTAGGTACAGTTTGGAAAATCACTCAAGCAATAAATATCAAAGTATGTACTTGTAACTTAGCCAAGTTAATAAAAAAACTATTTATAAATATTTCACATTTCTTCTATGTAATAACAGAAACATACAAAAAGTTCAGTTTTAAAATGGAAAGTACCGGCACGTCAATACTCACAGAAAAAGTAGGATTCCAGTGTTTGCCAGGGCAAAGGCGAGTCCCAAAATCCCACTGCCCATAATGGCGTTGCTTAGGTTAAAAACAGACATGCCTAAGGAGGTTGTACCTGGAATCTGAACAAAGAAACAAACATTGACACTAAGCAAAATAATCCCCAAGAAAGTTCATCAAGCCAAAGCCTTTAATGCACTCTCAGGAACCAATATGGAAGTAAAATTCAAGAAAATCCATTCTTAGTTATCTAGTTATTTCCTTGAATGGATTTCAAGAGAAAATACATAAGGTATGAGGAATATCCTGGTGAATACAGGTAGTTATGCTTTTGGTACTATGCTACTTGAATTAAAAAGATTTGTCCCAATTTATATGATTAAAAAAATAAGCATACTTCATTATAATGATACTTACATACTCATCACACTTCTTTTTTTCCAAATGGCTGTTTGTGAGACTTCTTCTACTTTCACGATCAGAAATAAACTTGCTGTAAAGACATGCGTAATATATTTAACCTTATGATAATGATTTGAAGCTTGACATCTTTACTAAATGATATGTTACTCATCAAAACATACATGAACAGTTACCAATCAGCTCTCTAAGAGTTTACAGCCCTATTCAACCACCAACTCCCCCCACCTTTTTTTCTTTTGCCATTATGAGTTGTCTATATTCTCGTTTTACCAAATAAACTATAAGTGCCCCAAGGGCAGGCACTTTGCCTCATTCATTTTTATATCCTGCACTCTACCTTGTACAAAACAATGCCAATAACAGGTGCTCATCTTGAGATGAAATGAAAGACAACCGTAAGTCAAAAACAGCTATACATTTTGAATCATTTTAATAATAAATTTAAACACTATATGCAACATAAATTAATTTTTGTATAGTTTTTCCCTAAGTGGAAAATTAGATAATATCAAGACTACTATAAACCTGGTATTTAAAAGGATACTAGAGGCAAGTTTTCTTTTGAGCTCAGGTTCTTGGACTACAAAATTGTTAAATAGAAATTCCCTCTCCCTTGCAGAAAAGAAAAGAACTGTTTCACCGTCAGACATTCCTTCAGCGCCTGCTATATGCAAGTCACTGGAACAGGCACTGGGGAGACACGGGGGTAGGTAATAAGTGATGCAAACAGGAGGCTACAGGAGTTCAGACTAGGAAATTACGGTGGGAGGCAAGGCATATGGTCGATGGTGAGGGTCAGAGCCAAGGCTTTGAGAAAGCAAGGGACTTAGAACTTGAATTCAAATCCTCACTATCTCTGAGGGCCTGAGCATGCTACCCTAGTTTCCTCATCTGGGAAACAGAAGTTAACACTATTACATCATCTTATCAAGTTATTGGGAGACTTAAATGAGAGAGTACATGTTAAACATCAGTCCAGCACCTGGCACAGAGTAACAGCAATAGATGTTAGACAGTCTTCTCCATGGGGAAAATAGGACTTGAGATGGGAACAATTCAGCCAGGCTAAATGGAGTAAATGATGTACAAATATACAGAAGTAAGAATTTAAAATGCTTTCTTTAAGAATCATCAAATATATTCAGGGTGAGTATCAAAACTTTATAGCCTAAATTTCTAATTTAAAAAAATTATCCAACAAATGATTTTGTCAAAGAAAACTCCAACAGCAGATGTTGGCGAGGATGTGGAAAAAAAGGAATGCTTATACACCATTGGTGGGAACTTAAATTAAGACAGTCTCTATGGAAAACAGTATGAAGATTCCTCAAAGAACTAAAAATAGAACACCATTCCATCTAGCAATCCCACTACTGGGTATCTACCCAAAGGAAAGGAAACTATTATATCAAAAAAATACCTGCATTCATATATTTATCACAGCACTATTCACCATAGCAAAGTCATGGAATCAACCTAAGTGTCCATCAACAGATGACTAGATAAAGAAAATGTAGTGTAGATGTATACCACGGAATACTATGTCACCATAACAAATAATAAAATCATGTCTTTTGCAGCAACGTGGGTAGAGCTGAAGGTCTATATGAAATGACTCAGAAACAGAACATCAAAACCTGAATGTTCTTACTCATAAGTGGGAGCTAAACAACGGGTACACGTGGACATAGAGAGTGAAATAATAGACACTGGAGACTCCAAAGAAGGGGAAGGTGGGAGGGGGCAAGGGATGAAACACTATCCAATGGGTACAACGTTTACTATTTTAAAAGCCCAAACTTCACCACTATGTATTATATTTGTGTAACACAACTGGACTTGTACCTCCTAAATCTATAAAAATAAAAAATTAAATGAAATTAAAAGTCCAGGCATAGGCAAACTGCTGCATATATTAGTAAGATATGTTAAGGATGCTTTTTGGCTCTTCTAGTCTGGAAATTCAATTACCTGATCATGGTTAGAACAAATGACAGTGAATTTTGCATTAATAAATATAAAACCACTTGAACTGGACTAGTTTAATGAAGCAATGATGCATGCCTATTTAAACTGTACATTAGATTTTAATAAACTTTTTTCTGAGACAGAGTCTCACTCAGTCACCCAGGCTGCAGTGCAGTTGTACAATCTCCACTTCCCAGGCTCAAGTGATTCTAGTGCCTCAGCCTCCCAAGTAGCTGGGATTACAGGTATGCACCACCACGCCCAGCTAATTTTTGTATTTTTAGTAGAGACGTGGTTTTGCTATGCCAGCCAGGCTGGTCTTGAACTCCTGGCCTCCCAAAGTGTTGGGATTACAGGCATGAGCCACCGCACCCAGCCTCATACACTTTTTTCAATGATGCTATATTTCACAATAAAACATTTTTAAATGAAACATATGTATCATTGATGTTGATTTTATTCATTGACGTTTTTCATCTTTATCCAAGGGATCTGGTTCTTTCAGGCATTATTTCTCCAAGTTTGTGTTATTTCAAACAAAATAACCAAAGTTAGGCAATACACTTACTACAAACTTACTCTGGGATCATCAGTTGGTATAAGCTATACAATCTGCAGACACTGCTTTTGGCTAGGACCTGCTGGGGACCAAAAGGATGTGGAAGAAAAACCTTGGTCTCTTGAAACACAAGAGCTGACATTCGGACAAGGAGAGACCATACCAGGTAACACCAGTATAGGAACGTCAGGCTGTGCAGATTAAGATGAGGTAAGGAGTCCAGAGAAGGAAAAAACCAGCACAGACTGGGATTAGCCAGAGGAAACTAAAAGACAAAAGCCTAAGAAATAATATAGAATGTTCTTAGCAAGAGATTGACATAATAAAAGCAATATATTTGCAGGCAAACTCTGGTGGTTGTATATAGCATTGCTGCTAATAACTGCTTTGGCTTTTCTTTTGTCTTTAATGTTTTGAATCTTTCCACAGAACTAAGGTTTACAGATCTGGCTGCAGAATGGCAGGGGAAAGCAGCCTTCCCTTTCACACAGGCTGCCCTAAGAAAAGTGGGGACTGGACTTTCCAAAATGAAATTGAGTCAAAATATTTAAGTGTTGTTGTCAAAAGACTGTACAGTGTCCCTTGGTATTTGTAGGGGATTGGTTCTAGGATACCCCTCTCTCTTCTGAGATACCAAAATCCAAGGATGCTCAAGTCCCTAACATAAAATAGTTATAGAATTTGCATATAACCTATGCATATCCTCCTGTATACTTTAAGTCATCTCTAGACTACTTATAATACCTAATACAAATGCTAGGTAAATAGTTGTTATACTATATTTTTAAATTTGCATTTTTTAAATTGTTGTATTGTCAATTTGTGTTTGTTTTCTCAAATATTTTCAATCCTGAGTTAAATCTGCAGTTGCAGAACCCAAGGATATGGGCAGCCAAATGTATTTCGTCAAGCTAATTTTATTATTATTATTATTATTTTAGAGACAAGTTCTTGCTTTGCTGCCCAAGCTGGAGTGCAGTGACACAATCATAGCTCACTGTAACCTGGAGCTCCTAGGCTCAAGTAATCCTCCTGCCTCAGCCTCCCAAGTAGCTGGGACTACGGGCACACACCACCACACCCAGCTTATCTTTTAAAAAAAATTGTGTAGGGATGGAGTCTTGCTATGTTGCCCACGCTGGTCTCGAACTCCTTGGCTCAAGTGATTCTTCCAAACTCGCCTTCCCAAAGTACTGGGATTACAGGTGTGAGCCACTGTGCTTGACCTAATCTGGCTAATTTTCATAACCAACTCAAGTCTACTAAGTCTATCCAGCAGTTTTCCTTTGCCTTTCTTGTGGAGGGACTTGTTTTCCAGAGAATTTCCATTATATTTAAATTAATAGAAAAGCAAATATTTTCAAACAAACCAAACAAAACACCAATAAACTGCCCGTTATGGAAGATCTAAATTCCAGGCCTGGTAACACTCCCCTGGGTTGGTAGCAAAGCATAGGTGAGCAGAGAAGAAAGAGATCCAGGCACTGTGACATGAGGGGGCATTCAGCCAGGTCAAACATTGTACAGTTGAAGCAGATAAAGAATAAGTCCCTGTATGACTGCCAGCTGTTTCCTGCAGAACTTCTGCATAATGAGAATAATGATACTGACAGAGCTATTTTAATGAGTAACCGTTAAATAGCACATTAAAACACATTATTTGTAGAGTGTCTCCTTGGTTCTGTCTCTTTCAGTCTACTTTCTGCAACAAGACTTAATAGGTTTTCCCAAAAATCTTCACTGCCTCACCCACTGAATTAGCTTCAAGCACAAATTCCTCACCCTGCAATTCCAGGTACTACTTAATTTGCTTTTGCCTCAATGTTCCAATCTTAGCTCCCCCTGCTCCTCCTGAGGTGCTGAGGGCTGAGATACAATCAGTGCATTCTGAGAGCAGAGAATGAAAAACAAGATGGCAGTAGGAATTCACTTTCCCTTGAGGAGGTCCTCTTTCTTCCTCTCAGCCAATCTTTCCCTATCAGTTCAAAACCCTCATCATCCACAAGTCTTCCACACTCTGGTTTGGAATTTTTGGACTGTGACCTACTTATTACTTTATCTGTACTACACTCTGTCAACACTGAACTCATCTTGAATTGTGGTTGTCCAGTGCTGTCTCTCAGCTCCTTCTAATATGTACCTAACCACACATTAGCAACTCAGAGGAGCTCTCCATAAGCTGAACATGCATCTTCTGTTTAGAAATTAGGGAGTAGCTTAAGCTGGAGGGAAATTTAGCTCAATAAGAATGAAGTACTTAAAGCGTCCCTATTCTCTTTATGGTGTTTCAACTTTTTCTTCTCTTTAAGTCTTTACATCTTTGCTTTGTATTTCTTTTTTTCTTTCTTTCTTTTTTTTTTTTTTTTGTTGAGACGGAGTCTCTGTCTTTCGCCCAGGCCGGACTGCAGTGGCGCTATCTCGGCTCACTGCAAGCTCCGCCTCCTGGGTTCACGCCATTCTCCTGCCTCAGCCTCCCGAGTAGCTGGGACCACAGGCGCCCGCCACCGTACCCGGCTAATTTTTTGTATTTTTAGTAGAGACGGGGTTTCACCGTGTTAGCCAGGATGGTATCGATCTCCTGACCTCGTGATCCGCCCGCCTCGGCCTCCCAAAGTGTTTGCTTTGTATTTCTATACATTTAAAAAATACATAAAACTAACTAACTTTTTGTAATGGAAAATTCCATTCAAAATAACTGGGTCAAGCAGCGTATCACAAGTTTCTGCTGTCTCACCATTTAAAAGATGCACTTGCTTGTTAAAAAACACGACCTCTGGCAAAATAGTTGATGTAATATTTCTCTTTATTGACTTTAAATATGCTATGGAAGAAGGTGCCTTTGACATGTTATCTCAGGATGATAAAATATTATTAAAAAAAGAGTTCTCATTGGGTGTGTCTGTACCCATAAAACAGAATTTAATTAACCATTAGGTAGCCAATTGCTCTGTGAACAAACAAAACAAAACAAACTCCACAATGGGTGATTGGGTGACCCTGAACAGACAAAGCCTTAAAAAATGATGTAAGCTGTTATACTAAGGTACATTGTGAAGAGAGGCAAGAAACAGAGAGGCAAGAAACAGAGAGGTTCTGTTATTTAAAACCAGAAACAAATCAACAGTAACAATCTAATTAAGGATGAGTTGTACAACAGAAAGATAATCTTCCTATTTTAATCAGGTTCTTACTAGATTATACTGTTTCCTCTGAGAATTCATAACATAAAAGAGATGAGTGGTTGAACTTAAATGACCTTTCCTACTCCTTTCTCTGAAATGCTAACATTGTATTAAAAAGGAGAATAAAATGAAAGGGAAGAAGCAAGTAACAAAGATATTGGAAAACATGAAAAGGGAGAATTGAAGAAACAGGAATCTAAAGAGAAGAGAAGACTGAGAGGTAAGCAAAGCCTTATTTGATGGACAAATTCCACTGAAAATAGGAAAAAAAGACTTTAATTGTAACAGGAGAAATGAAAGCAAGAGAAGAATTTTCTGACATGAAAATTGAATACAGAAAGAAGTTATGGAATCTTCTTCCCTAAGGTATAGAAAACATAGAAGAAGAGGGATAACTTTTCAAGGGTGCTCTCAAGTGATAAAAATTTAGCCCACAAACTCCAAAAGATATATAAAGACAAGTGGGTTCAGGGTGTAGTGACAAGAGTTGCCTCGAATTCTTTTAAAAACAAATCTTAATGAAAAAATCTCAAATTTTGTTAAATAGTTCCTGGGTCATAATAGCAATAAGTATACAGAAAGAACAATAGCAGATAAATATTAAAATACAAGCATATTTGTCTGGGTACACCTAGAATAATCTACTAATGTTTCACCAAATTTAAGGTGGCAATAACCAGCAATCATCCAAAACCTAGAGCAATGTCATTGCTTCTTGAGGTGAAGAAGAAAGAAGTGCTTGCCAAAGAAAGGGGACTGCATTTTTACCGATAGACTTTTCTCATACTAAGAGGCTTACTATTGCCAGACACTGTGCCAAGTACTTTACATGAATTTCCTCATTTATTTTCACAATAATTATATGTGGTTGGTATTATTTTTAGCCCCAGTTTGGAAAAATTAAGTAACTTGACCTAAGTTACATTACTATTAACCCATTTATGCCAGGGGTTGCAATTTTTTATGTGTGAAAAATTAGACCTTGGCAATGACCTTGAGCAGTAGGATATAAATAAGTCCCACAAGCTTAGCGTTCCAATAATGGAACACTAGGCATAAATGGGCTAACTAACCTGTTGTGGCAGGATTTGAATATAAGCAGGCTAAGTGCAGAGCCTATGTTCTTAACCTACAGATAATAGTGCATTAAACATTCCCCAACAATCCCATGAGGAAAGGTATTATTATTATCCCCATCTTAAAGGGATGGGATTGAGGCTCAGAGCACAAGATCAATAAGATCTATGATAGAGCTGGGATTCAATGCAAGTCTAAATCCAAAGCCATGTACTTTACTCTCTCTCTCAGTCAACACATAATTTGTAATGTCCACCCTGTAGACATTACCTAGACACTAGGATAGGCAGTCCACCCTGCCTAGACACTAGGATAGGCAGAAGGAATATAAAGATGATTAAGACAGTCCCTTTTCACAAGAAGTTCACATTTAGAGGAACAGTCTAGAGCTTTCTACTCAAAGTTTGGTTCATGGATCAGCAGTTATGGGCGTCACCTGGGAATTTGCTAGGAATCAGAATTGCAGACCCCACCCCAGACTTACAGAATCAGAATCTGCATTTAACAAGGTTTCCAAGTGTTTCATACACACATTAAAACACCAGTTGGCAGCACTGGTCTAATGGATATTTTAAAAGGTATTGCCATTCCAGGTATAGGTTTCTATGACTACAACCCCAAAATTTGGGCATGAAATAAAACAACTGAACTGGAATAACGGCAGATGTCTGAATGCTCAAATGACTCCACTTTTATTTTCAACCAAACTTAAAAGAATAAAAGGTTCTTATTGTATCCAATTGCAAAGTTTCCAGGCGGAGCTATCAGCTAGATGCCAAGTAACACACCATCAATGTTTGTTTTCAACATTTTCTCCAGCTTCCTAAAAGTTCACTGTTTGGGGAGAAGTGGTTTTCTTAGATTCATATAATTGGACCTACCTTCCTCCCACAAATTTGAGAAAGCCGCAGGAAGAATGAGGGGTATTTAGGTGTAGTTTTTGCAGGAATCATGGACTACTAAAATATGCCAATACAGTAAGCCAGATAACCCAGTAGGGACCTTCAATAAAATTGGCAAGGGTCTTTTTCTTTATTAGCTTCATGCTATAACATGTTGTTTTTAATTGTGTTAGAGCGAGAAATGAAGCAAGAGTCATGAACTGAGTCAGAGAAGGAGGGGAAATAAAGAAAAACAAACAAACAAACAAAAACTCATCACACTGCATTTGCAATACAGGAACCAAAAGCCAACAGACCTCCCTCTGTACCAACGCTTGCCCTGGTTGGAGCCTATAGGGAAGTGAGCTCATCCAGGCAAGGTGCCTAAGTTGCGGGTGAGAATAGATGTTTCTCCCATCTACTGCAAGTGGTAATCATCTAAAAACTTGACATTTTTAGTAAGTGACACTTTTAAAAATCAAGTTCAGATTCTAAACTGACTATTATAAATGACTCCCACCTTTAAGGCCCTTGAGGTTTGGATTGCTTTGATAATGGATTGCTTTGATAATTTTATAAAACCACAATGTCCTACTTGTGGTGAGAATTCCTTCCACTGTTCAGTGGAGGTCAGCAGGGACTACTGAACTGTCCAGGAGTACAGCACATAAAATGGCCCTGGTAGCATTTAATAGAACTATTAAAGACTAGCTTTTTACCAATGCCCAAGCATTATAACCAGAGGGAGGAGGGTAGAGTAAAAATACACAAATTTTAGACAGACCTGTGTGTACCCTTGGATAAGTTATTTTCTTCCTCTGAACCTTAGTTTCCTTATTTGTAAACGGAAACTTTACATTTTTCTCACTTGCAGAAGAATACTTGTGCATGGCAGTTATTAAGGATATGTGGTAGCTTATGTAAAATACCTGGCACTCAAGAAATGGGTATTATTATTAAGAATTACTCAAAAAAGATGAAAGAAGTAAGTACACTTGAGCCCCATAGTAAGAAACATCACCTAGCACAGTTGACCGTACTTGGATAATAATGAGGAAAAGTGTCTGAGTTGGGGACTTAACCTCTTAAGAACATTTAAAGGAGGAAAAAAGGAGAACATCTGTGTTAATAAATGATGGTAGCTAAATCCTATGCTGGGCTTTTAATCACATACTTTATCAGAATGTAGGCCATCAGAAATGATTTCTACAAAGATGCCTGGTTAGTTGACATAATGTTCTTATCCTCTTCCATCCCAATTTCCTTTTGACCCTCCCAAAGTATAACATTGTAGGTGTTCTAACAGTCCTGCATATGTCACTCTCTTCTCCTAATCTTTCAGGAGGCTGTGCCGCTAACTCCCAAGCTGGAGGCTTCCTGCTAAGCCACCTAGACAATCAGTGGGTCTAAGAATGCCACAAATCATTTTTTTAAAAAGACATTTGGTTCTACTCTTGTGATGTAAGCAATAAAGACCCAAGGGTTGGAAGGACTTGCCTGAGGACACAGCTAGTGGCTGGGAGCTTCCAGGCCAGCACTCTTCCTACCCTGACCCTCTACTTCTTCCCCATTGCTTCTCTCCTCAGTTGTGGTCGCTTTCCTTCTCTTTTTCTTTTATGTACTATGTCTCTATTATAGTTCCTCACAGAGTCATTTGGGCTCAACCATTATTATTATTTAAAATCCATACTACAAATGATGCTTATAAGGATGACACACTTGTAGTTTAACACAGATTCATTAGCAAATGCAACTTTGACCATTTCTTGATTAAAATATGTACAGATGACTGTAGTACACATTTGGATATGGGATGCAGTGAAATTCCAGTAGTCTGTTTAATTCATAACACAGAGCTTGGTTGGGGTTCAATGTATTCATACATTTTTATTAGTCTCAATTGAAAGATTTTAAAAGATGAATAAATTACTTTCCTATTTGCTTCATTTGCTATTGCAGACTATGCCCAACAGATGTCACATAAGAAATTCAAATTATATCTTCAAATGGAACATAACTTTAGTAATGAATAATTCAACAGAATAACTAAAAACCAGAATAATTTTTAAAACCATTTCTTTTTCTTTACTTTTTTTTTTTTTTTCTGAGACAGAGTTTCACTCTGTCATCCAGGCTGTAGTGCAGTGGCATGATCTCGGCTCACTGCAACCTCCGCCTCTCAGGTTCAAGCGATTCTCCTGCCTCAGCCTCCCAAGTAGCTGGGACTACAGGCATGCACCACATGCCTGGCTAATTTTTTGTATTTTTAGTAGAGACGGGGTTTCACCATGTTGGTGGGTTTCACCATGTTGGTCAGGCTGGTCTCGAATTCCTGACCTCAAATGATCCACCCACCTCGGCCTCCCAAAGTGATGGGATTACAGGTGTGAGCCACGAGCCATTTCTTTCACTGGATAGAAATGTTAGTGGAAAAATACTCACCTATTTATCTGACCATTTTCTACTTCGGTGAAATCATTGGAGTCATTGCTAATGTTATCATCCTCGGGCACTGTCATGTTTTGCAACTCAGTTAATTCGAGTCCACTTTTGAAATGCATCATGATTAGAAAGTGTCTGTAGTTTGAAAATTAGTCCAAATTTCTCCTGTTCTGAGTGTATTTAGAAGTAGATACCAAAATGGAAGCTTGACACCCCTAAAATATAGCAAAATAAAAAAATAACTAAACATATGAAACGCTACTGATTAAAAATAAATTACCACAAATAAACAAGTAGTTAATTTACTGATTATACAATTTTACATGTTGCTACTAGATGCATTAAAGCAATCTTTGTCTATCAAGTTATGGAGGTGTATCTAAATTTTATGCCTTTTATAGATTTCCTTCCATTTTTAACTATACAGTGAATCATGCCCCATAATCTTACTGATCAGGTTTATAAGAATATCATGTTAGCTGTAGGTAACAGAGACCCCCTTTTATGATATGAAGCAGTGTTGTTGTTGTTCTTTGAGATGGAGTCTCGCTCTTGTTGCCCAGGCTGGAGTGTAATGGCACAGTCTCGGCTCACTGCAACCTCTGCTTCCCTGGTTCAAGCGATTCTCCTGCCTCAGCCTCCCAAGTAGCTGTGATTACAGGCATGCGCCACCACGCCTGGCAAATTTTTGTATTTTTAGTAGAGACAGGTTTCTCCATGTTGGTCAGGCTGGTCTCAAACTACTGACCTCAGGTGATCCGCCCTCCTCAGCCTCCCAAAGTGTTCAAATTACAGGCGTGAGCCACCGCACCCGGCCTGAAGCAGTGCTTTTAAAATGAAAGTGATTCAGTTATTTTAATGTGTCAGATCGCAGAGCACACACATAGCTGGTACAGACTGCACAGACACAAAAGCACCTTCGGTTTAGCAATCCCAGCTTAAAGAAAAATGCAAATCCTGGGATCAAGCACGCAACCCTGGTAGTCAACCAGTAAACAACAAATTTATGTTTTGAAATTTTGCAAGTAGTGTATCCATCAACTGCAAGAGATTAAATCAATCTCTTCAATGAAATCACTTTATGTCAGGGAATTAGGGAATTAAAAACTCATACTCAAAGGATTTGGTTTAATCCAACTGCTACTATATTACTCATCAGAAATGAAAAACCTCCAGAGTTCACATTTTCTCCCATATGGATGACTGTGGTTTAAGTTTCTGAGGGATCACCCATAGTAAGTAGGGAGGGAGAAAAAGAATTTTGGGGGCACAGCAGCCTCACGAATTAAAAAGCAGATGGCTTGTCTATGGCCATGCCACCCTGAATGTGCCCAATCTTGTCTAAAAAGCAGATGGCCACAGAGGCAAATGCAACTTCAAAAGCAAGGCGTATAATGCATGGGGAGCCTCACCGTGATACTCTCAGCAAAGTGATGGGGACCATGGAATCAAGCAGAATGTCAATGAGCTGGTTTTTTTTAAAAAAAATGTCATTAGCAAATCCCCTTGGACAATGTTTTGAATTTTGTCTGATCCTAAATTCCATAAGATGGCTATAGCCTAGTTAAGGGTCAAACCTCAATGCGCCCAACTAAGTAATATTTCAAGAAGCATCTTACTAATTTCTATTATTTTGAAGACCCACAGAAAGTGCCTTAGAATGATAACTTTTCCAGGTATCCCCCTCTTTTCCTCTTTCCACAGCCAGGCCACACATTATTCTTTTCATTCACACAGTCTCCTATCTAGAATAAAACTTCCCTGGTTTCAGGATCCTGTAATGTGCCATAATATACACATGTTTATAACATCTCAGATTCTAGGAACCTTGTCTTGTCTTCAGGGCAAGGCACTTCCTCAAGAAGGAGGAGAGCCAGGACAGGGAGATTTGACCTCATGACTCCTGGTCTGAGGCTGATTCCTCTAACCACAGTGGTGGTGCTAGAGACGGCCCATTTCTGATTGTTTCTGGTACCTTCATGCAGTGGTGATGTTTTACCATCTGCCTTATGTTGCAAAAGCTGAAATGAATTAAAATGGTTGAACCCCACTCTTACCCCTTGGCCCTCTTTGATGAAAGCTGTCCAAATGGGCTAGACTGGGTAATTTCTAAAAGTCTTGCCACACTGACTCCCTCTTGTGTGACTACATCCCAGGCTACTGAAGTGATATTACAGGGCTGATAGAAAGTTAATTCAGCGGATGGCATTTCCAATCTGGGTTAAGGAGACTTTTCTCTCTACAAAATGGAAGGAAATAGGGCACCAGACAAAAAATTTTCTGCGGTAAGAAAGGATTGACTAATAATAGATCCCGAGTCTACTGTTTAAATTTTCATATTAAAAATACATATGTATGTATATATATGTGAGTGTGTGTATGCATATCACACACGCGTGCACGTGTGTAAAACTAGTAAGAAACAGAGAAGAAGGCAAAAGAATGAAAACAACAGATGAAGTCCTGGTCACTAAAATTAGGTCAATATTATGCAAATACTAGTACAAATTAATCACAAAGAATAATTTTTTATTATTATTAAATAACCTCTCTGAAACCTAACTTGTTCTTGAAAATCAAAATGGAAATTGAAGAGAAAAATTAACAAAATTAATGACACCTATCACCAAGGCCACACTTGCAAAAATAGTATCAGTTCAACTTATCATATATTTATTGAGCACTAAGTGATGAAGGGATTGAAAAAGCTTAAAAAATGTTAAATGCAGGGATCTCAGGCAGCTTCATAGAAAAGTCACATTTGGATTGGACCTTGAAATTTTTTTTTCCTAATTCTAAAAGTAATACAATGGCTGGGCATGGTGGCTCATATTTGTAATCTCAACACTTTGGGATGCCCAGGCAGGCAGATCACTTAAGCCCAAGAATTTGAGACAACATGGCAAAACCCCGTCTCTACAAAAAACAAACAACAACAAAAAAACAAAACAACAACAAAAAATCAAAACAAAACATTAGCTGGGTGTGTAGCACGTGCCTGTGGTCCCAGCTACTTGAGAGGCTGTGGTGGGAGATCATCTGAGCCTAGGGAGGTCAAAGCTCCACTGAAATGTGATCATGCCACTGTGCTCCAACCTGGGCAACAGAGTGAGACCCTGTCTCAAAAAAATAAATAAAAGCAACACATACTCACTGTAGAATCTTTAGAACAGATATTGTAAAAGAAATTCTACCACCCCCAAATGGGCCACTGTTAAGATTTTTCTTCCTTTTCTCTTTTCCTTTCCTTTCTCTAGCTCTAGCTCCTCTTCCTTCTCTTTTTTAAGTTTAGCATTGGTGATTTTAGATTGTTTTTAGCCTACTTTTTTCATTGAGTATCATATTGTAAGCATTTTGAAGAACAGAAGTGATTATTCTAAAAAATATTAGTTATTTATTAATAAATACTAATTTATTAAAAAATAAATGAATTAATTAATTAACTAATATAGGTTTGGTAGAAAAGTTAGAAAATACAATTTTTCAAATGGAATAAAATGAGCAAAAAGAAAAAAGTTCACCTGTTAGCTCAGCAAGCAGAGACGATCACTCTATATATATTGTTGTATGGCCTTCCAGGGTTTTTCTATGCACATAGATATAGTGCCTGGCACACAGTAGACACTCAATAAATATCTGTCAAATGAAAGAATGAGCACAAATAAAAAATATATACACATTTACAAAAATGGAAATGATACCAAACATTGAGTTTTTAAAACATTTTTTTCACTTAACAAGATATCATTTCCTATCCTGAGTTATGTCAGTAAGCACAGGTCTACACCATTACTGTTGATACTTGGTTAACTCTGCCAGAAATTGACATCTAACTGGTTATTGCTGGACATTCAGACTGCTTGGTGGAGAGAAGACTGACAGATGGAGATGGGGCCTGAGCTGAGACTTCACAGTGGAGGGAGAACATGGTCAATGGCACAGAGGCAGGAAGTGCAGATTGAGTTCAAGAAACAAAGAACTATAGTTTCACTGAAAAATAGAAATAATCATCAGGCTATACGATTAATTAAAAGGCAGACTAGGGTCATCATGTGAAGATCTTGGTGTTAACACAACCGTAATTACTATCTGTCAACATTTATAATAGGTTACGAATTACAATTTATTTAGCACAGAACATTTCTGATCCTTACCACAACCTTGTGAGGTACTTAAGGAAGGCATCAATTTCTTGTTATGCTTATTGGTACAATTTATTAATAGTACCAATGTAAAATACATAATCTTGCTATTTATACTGCATGGCGTTATAGATCAAAGGAGAGGATACACAAAGAAACTTATCTGGCCTTAAGTCAATTAGAGCCTATTTAACCAAGCAAGACCAACCCATCTAAAATGACACTGTACCTCAAAACAATTGCATGATATAGACTAAACTACATGGCAGAACGAAGAATAAGTCTGGTTCAGAGACACACATACCTACACAGTGCATACATGCATGAAGGAGGGAAGGAAGCAAGGAAGGAAAGAAGAAAGGAAAGTAGAACGGTGGAGAAATCAATGAGGCCAGGAGAGATCAGGTAAGTCTTAATTTAATAAAGAGATAGGACCTGAACTGTGTCTAACAATAGGTAATATTAGACTGGGGGAGAGAGAAGACTTTCCTTGTACCAAGGACAGTACTGGCAGCCTAATTGCTAACACTTTGTGGTGGATTGGTCCACTCAATATTTGTTCCCACCTCTTTTCAGTCCAGTTCTATAAAGGACAGAAAGTTGAAAACTACATTTCCCACACTCCCTTGCAGCTAGGTTTCTAGATATAATTTAGATTCCACCAATGGGAGAGTGGTGGTGGCCAGAGCAAGGCATCCACTTTACTGGTACCATTCTAGCAGGTGCTGCAGCAGCAGGTAGCCCTGGAGCCAACAGTTGTGGCTATGATTCTTGATCATCAGATTTGGCTCAAGTGATGTGTTCCTCTAGCATGCACTTGAGATAATGGCTTCCTGATTTCCAGACTTCCTGAAGGAGGCACAGATAGCATTTAACCTTAGCAAGCCAGTTGAATGTGTTATGTTAATTATTCCTAGAGGCCCAGCCTAGGGCCTGCACTGCCAGTAATTTTAACAAATTTTTAGGCACTGAATTCCCTGTATTAAATCTGTTTTCCTTAGCGTAAACAGATCTCTGTTAAATGAAACTAAACCCTGACTGATATCCTTCATTTTATTTCTCCCTTAAAATTTTTTTTATTACTGGAAATTTTAAACACATGTAAAAGTAGACAATGGTATAATGAACTCCCATATACCAACTTCAATTATCAATTCAGGCCTGTCTTGTTAGATTTTTTTATGCCCACCATCACCTGGAATTATTTTGCAGCAGGTCCTTGATAACATATCATCTATAAATATTTCAGCAAGAATCTCTAAAAGGCAAGAACCTCCTTCTTAAACAATACCACTGCATCACTATCAAACCCAAAAAATAACAAAAATTGGGTAGCACTACATATCTTGCCACATACACTTAATTCTAAAACTTGTTATGAATCATCATTGGTTTTTTATTGTGAAGAACTAATATAATCAGACCTCTGCTAGCTCAACTCCTGAGAATCAATTATATAAGCTAGGTCAGTGGTTTTGAGAAAGTATTAGTAGACATTTCTCCAAAGAATACATAAAAATGGCCACAAGTATGTGAAAAGGTGCTCAACATTATTAACTGTCAGGGTAATGCAAATCCATACTGCAATGAGCTATCACCTCACAGCTCTTAGGACAGCCATTATCAAAAGTCAAGAGATAACAAGTGTTGGCAAGGGTATGGAGAAAAGGAAATCTTTGTACACTGTTGGAGGGAAGGTAGTTTGGTGCACCATTATAGAAAACAGTATGGAGGTTCCTAACAAAATTAAAAGTAGAACTTTACTGTTTCATATGACACAGTAATCCCACTTCTGGATATACACCCAAAGAAAATGAAATCACCACCTCATAAAGACATGTGCGCTGAGCCTGGGGAGGTCAAGACTCCACTGAGCTGTGATCATGCCACTATGCTCCAACCTGGGTAACAGAGTGAGACCCTGTCTCAAAAAATAAATAAAAGTAACACATACTCACTGTAGAATCTTCAGAACAGATATTGTAAAAGAAATTCTACCACCCCCAAATGGGCCACTGTTGAGATTTTTCTTCCTTTTTTATTTTTATTTCCTTTCTTTAGCTCTAGTCCCTCTTCCTTCTCTTTTTTAATTTAGCATTGGTGATTTTAGATTGTTTTTAGCCTACTTTTTAAATTGTGTATTGTATTGTAAGCATTTTCAAGAACAGAAGAGGATCTTTTAAAAAATATTATTTCTTGATCTCTGTCACGGTCCGTTCAAAGAGGGCCAAATAGGAACAGCTCCCTTCTGCAGCTCCCAGCGTGAACAAAGCAGAAGACAGGTGATTTCTGCACTTCCAACTGAGGTACCTGGTTCATCTCATTGGGACTGGTTGGACAGTGGGTACAGCCCACAGAGGGTGAGGCGAAGCAGGGCGGGGTGTTGCCTCACTCAGGAAGTGCAAGGGGTCTGGGAATTTCCCTCGTCAGGCCAAGGGAAGCCGTGACAGACTGTACATGGAAAAACAGGACATTCCCACTCAAATACTGCGTTTTTCCAAAGGTCTTAGCAAACAGCAAACCAGGAGATTGTATCCTGCGCCTGGATCGGCAGGTCCCATGCCCACAGAACCTTGCTCGCTGCTAGTGCAGCAGTCTGAGATTGACTTGCCAGGCAGCAACCTGGCAGCGGAAGGGGTGTCCACCATTTCTGAGGCTTGAATAGATAAACAAAGCAGCCAAGGAAGCTCGAACTGGGTGGAGCCCACCACAGCGGAGCAAGGCTTGCTGTCTCTATAGACCCCACCTCTGGGGGCAGAGCATAGCTGAAGAAAAGGCAGCAGAAACTTCTGCAGACTTAAACGTACCTGTCTGACAGCTCTGAAGGGAGCAGTGGTTCTCCCAGCATGATGTTTGAGCTCTGAGAACAGACAGACTGCCTCCTCAAGTGGGTCCCTGACCCCCGTTTAGCCTAACTGGGAGACACCTCCTAGTAGGGGCTGACTGACACCTCATACAAGCAGGAGCCCCTCTTGGACAAAGCTTCCAGAGGAAGGATCAGGCAGCAATATTTGCTGTTCTGCAATATTTGCTGTTCTGCAGCCTCCACTGGTGATACCTGGGCAAACAGGGTCTGGAAAGAACCTCCAGCAAATTCCAACAGACCTGCAGCTGAGGGACCTGACTGTTAAAAGGAAAACTAATAAACAGAGGGGAATAGCATCAACATCAACAAAAAGGACATCCACACCAAAACCCCATCTGTAGGTCACCAACATCAAAGACCAAAGGTAGATAAAACCACAAAGATGGGGAAAAAATGGAGGAGAAAAGCTGAAAATTCTAAAAACCAGAGCGCCTCTTCTCCTCCAAAGGATGGCTACTCCTCGCCAGCAATGGAACAAAGATGGACGGAGAATGAGTTTGACAAGTTGGCCAAAGTAGGCTTCAGAAGGTCGGTAATAACAAACTTCTCCAAGCTAAAGGAGGATGTTCTATCCCATCACAAGGAAGCTAAAAACCTTGAAAAAACATTAGATGAATGGCTAACTAAAATAAACAGTGTAGAGAAGACCACAAATGACCTGATGGAGCTGAAAACCATGGCACGAGAACTATGTGATGTATGCACAAGCTTCAACAGCCAATTCGATCAAGTGGAAGAAAGGGTATCAGTGATTGAAGATCAAATTAATGAAATAAAGTGAGAAGAGAAGTTTAGAGGAAAAACAGGAAAAAGAAATGAACAAAGCCTCCAAGAAATATGGGACTATGTGAAGAGACCAAATCTACGTTTGACTGGTGTACGTGAAAGTGATGGGGAAAATGAAACAAAGTTAGAAAACACTCTTCAGGATATTGTTCAGGAGAACTTCCACAACCTAGCATGGCAGGCCAACACTCAAATTTAGGAAATACAGAGAACACCACAAAGATAGTCTTCAAGAAGAGCAACTCCAAGACACATAATTGTCAGATTCACCAAAGTTGAAATGAAGGCAAAAATGTTAAGGGCAGCCAGAGAGAAAGGTCGGGTTACCCACAAAGGGAAGCCCATCAGACTAACAGCAGATCTCTCAGCAGAAACTCTACAAGCCAGAAGAGAGTGGGGGCCAACATTCAACATTCTGAAAGAAAATAATTTTCAACCCAGAATTTCATATCCAGCGAAACTAAGCTTCATAAGTGAAGGAGAAATAAAATCCTTTACAGACAAGCAAATGCTGAGAGATTTTGTCACCACCAG